>NC_000012.12:39884370-40035885 GCF_000001405.40 Homo sapiens
TCGCCAAACTTCGTATTTTCTTAAATTAATCTATGTCCTTTACCTCTGGTTGCCTAAAACACTACAAATAAGTCACAGTAATAAATTACAAGCCTAACTATTCAATTAAACAAATATTTAGACATTTTCATAGAAAATAAGTACATCATGGCCAAATGTCTCAATAAGATGCAATTAAGATACACTTATTCAGGACGTACTATGTGCCAGATGTAGCAGAAGATACAAAGGCAATATCTGGGGACTGTTCAGGGAGGGTGGGAGCCCATAACACTGAGGGTGACCGCCATACATATAACAAGGACACACTGGTGGGCTGAGTTCTATGACAGCAGTAAAGGTAAAGAGCTGCTGGAACATGAAGGCAGCGATGAGCTCCACCTTACAGTCCAAATAGTTAATCAGTGATGCCAATTAGCCACAGTACTGTTTCTCATGTCCCAAGATTGAAAACAATACAAAGGGGCAAGGAATTCAAGATGCAAGTTATCACAGGGTTTAGCTAGAGAAAGCATTTAAAATCAGCCAAGGATCATACATGGGGAGAACTGGAAAGAACCACAAAGACTGTTAGTCATAATTAGGATGATAAACATCTATTCAGGTGCCTGACTAGAAAAACCATAGTGGCAGAGACAGGTATTATAGCCAGGAAGGAATTTCTTGATTTTGACTTTCTAGATGACAGTGATATGAATTGTGACTACATTTAAGAGTTGCCTTTCAGGCAGGGGGCTGATGATGAAATGGAAAAGGAGCTCTGTGCACTGCAGCTCATGAGGCAAAAGAACTGAGTGGGGAAGAAGGATCACTGGAGGAACAGGAGCTAGGAAGGCCAACAGGACTGCCAGTACCCAAAGATTGAGGAAAACACAGACTAACCTCACTTGAAATTCCCTACTCTCTCAAATGAATGCTTTCATCTCCCGATGAAAAGAGTGGGCTTGTAGAAAAACAGAGAGTAGGTGAAACAGAAAACAACACTGCAAACAAGGTGCTAAAGTAATGGGCTTTATTCAGTCATCTAACATGTAAGAAGTACAGAGAGAATCTCTGTACCAAATATTGCATATTTGGTATATTTTTTCCTTGATCCCCGCTTCTACAATGTGGATGAAGCACTTCTATGGCATGGCTTACCTGTTCTAGACATCAAAACCAATAACTATGAGTTCCAATTATTACAAAAAACTTTCTCTGAAAAGATAAATATTAATGAATATTATATTACCACCGAAGCACCCAGAGAAAAATTATCTCTGGCCTTAGTACATAGGAATTCTTGTCCTCCTCTGAGGAATTAATTCTCTTCTACCTCGTGAATCATGGAATAAAACATGTCTTCCCTTTTGTACTAGCTGCTAAAACATTTAGAGCAACATGGTTCTCAAACTTTAGTTTGAATTAGAATCATCTGAAGATCGTTCCCAATGCAAAATTCCCAGTTGTCTTTCCTCTTTGTCCAGCTCCAGCCTCCTCCTACCCAGGATTCTGATTCATTTCAAGAGATTCTAACGTATTTGGTTCAACAACACTTTAAAAAAGTCAGGTTTTGTGACCCAGTTTGTATAGATATCACTCCAGAGCAAATGTTTTGTATAGAAACCATCTTCTACTTTCAGCTATTTCCTAAATCACTAATTTTAAGGTTTCTTTTACTTTACTGCTTCTTCATGTGTTTAAGCCCTCTTACACTTCTGAAATAAACAGGTCAAGGTTAAAGTGAACAGACCTTTCAATTGACAGAGATAAATTTTATTGTTCCTTTTCCAAATATCAGGAAAGAAAGATGATCAATTTTTTAACAGCAGAGGAACTAGTTGAACTGTAACAGCCCTGGGCAAAGAGAGGTCTGACACACAAATGTATTATTAAATAGTAAATTAGGCTGCTGGCTTGATGCGGGCATATTGACAGCGCTGTGCCCTTTGATGTTCAAAGGGAGAGGCCTATAATTACACTTGGTTCATTTCAATGCATACATGCAGCACTAAAACATGCTTGCTCAATTATTAGCAGACCGGTAGGACCTTTCACAGCTGACAGCAAAAAAAATCTATATGTATATATGAAGTGTGATCTGAAGAAGAAATGCAATTATCTATCAGTCAGCATACATTTATTTAGGGGGTACTACATGACATTCATTTTAATTCTCAGATCCCACCGAGAAGTATTGAACCATCTGGCTAATTCTGAAAAATAGAAAGAATTAGGGAGATATTTCTGAGTTAAATGTTTTGGTGTGTTTGAATTGACTATATTGTCTTAACTCTCTACTTTTCTTTAAGTGTGTAGAATTGGTTTTAGAAATGCCCTTTTCATTTCCTGTTCTTTATTATGAAAATTTAAAGCTACTTCATAAGAAAATACAGAATAGAGAAACAAAAAGAATAACGGCTAATGGTCATTGAGTATTTTCTATGAATCTAAGAGACTCACTTGCAGAGTTGGAACTGAGGGCAGAAATAATTTCCTGATAAAAGAGGAAAAGAAGTAATATTTTTGAGCACTTAACTAAATGCCAAGTAGTGTCCAGATGTGTTTTGCGTATGTTAAATCATTCAGTCATCAAAAATACCTTATGAAAATGCAAACTTGATTGATAAGAGGCAATACTAAACATTTTAGGGTATAATTAACTCAACAGAATAGCTCTACAGTCCATTCTCATGCAGATTTAGAGTAAAAAAAGAGACTGTTATGGAAATTCTTACTCAGTTTATGCACGCTACACACAGAACAAAATGTAAACCCTTATTCATATTTAACACTTTAAATTTTTTTGCAAAAAAAAGTATTTTCATTTTTGATAAAGTCTTTTGTCTAGTTTAGCACTTTTGCTGCTAAATAAGTTGTCACTAGTAGTGAAATTCATAAAATACAAAAGTCATACAAATATTTAGTTAGACACCTCCAGAGATGGGCAGATGGATGGGCAGCCAGTCTGTTACAAGTTATATCCCAAAAGTACCCTGCCCCTTAAGGGGGATAAGGAGCACAGCCAGTCCTACAGCCTCAAAGCCAATAAACTCTCTTCTCCACTGAGGGCTCTAGAATCAATGAAAATACACCCAGAGCAGGCTTACAGTGGAATGTAAAAAAGGGACTTTTCACAACAGGGATAGAAAAAAGGGGATAAAAAAGGGAAGTAGAGGCCCTCACTCCTTGTGTGTATCACGGTGATGGTGGGGCAAGAAATTATTAGATTTTGAGCAGGAGTTTTTTTAAGCACCAGAGGGTAGACGTCCTTCTTCTTACAGCTTCTTCTATTCCAGTGACCATCGCTTAGGTTAGTTATTCTAATTCCATGAGGAAATAGCCTATCATTCTGTTGTGAAGACCATTTTATAATTTGTCCAAATCCTTTAAAAAAATTCCAGATTTTCTTTCTCCTTGGCAAGGAAGGAATAGAAGTGACAGTATCACTGATGTAGTATATGTTTATTCTTGTCATTGAATGAGGTCTGTCTCATGGTTCTCCTTCTTACTGATTCAATAAGGCAGGAGTGGGAGAGAGATGGTTTGAACAGACCAGTGATCAATAATCCTTTTCCTTCTAATTTCAGGAACCTCCAGAGTCAGTTTGCCCCTGCTTCGTATCCCACATCACCACCCCACTCTCAGCCTTGTGTTGATGGAATGCTTGGAAACTCTATTAGACTGATCTGGCAGATATCAACTGACAGATTGATTGCACTGACTTAGCAATAAGCCATGGAGGATCCATGTGCTTCTGGAGAAGTAACAGTGCCATCTGGGCAGGCTGCTTCAAATGCCCACATTCTGCTGCCTGCCCAGTTCATGGGAGAAAATGCTTATGGATATAACCATTCTAAGTTTTTATTTATATTTATTTATTTATTTATTTTGAGAAGGAGTCTCACTCTGTCACCCAGGCTGGAGTGCAGTGGTGTGATCTCAGCTCACTGCAACCTCCGCTTCCCAGGTTCAAGCAATTCTCCTGTCTCAGCTTCCCGAGCAGCTGGGACTACAGGTGCATGGCACCACACCCAGCTAATTTTTGTATTTTTAGCAGAGACAAGGTTTCACCATATTGGTCAGGCTGAACTCGAACTGCTGACCTCAGGTAATCCACCGTCCTCGGCCTCCCAAAGTGTTGGGATTACAGGCTTGAGCCACTGTGTCCAGCCCATTCTAAGTTTTTACTTAACATGCAACTTAGCAGGGTACCTGTAATTAGTGACAGGACAAAAACCTATCCTACTTTTGAATGTTTATTCTTTACCTGACAGGACAGAATTGCAAGAGAGCACAGTACTAATTTCACTTTTTGTGAACATTGTTTGCTAATAATGTGATGTTTACAATGGCATAACATCAAAGAAGTTTGTCAACACAGACAATCTTTTGAATATAGTGTTTTCCTCTATCTGAAATTCTCACAAGTAACCAAAATTTTATAATATTATATTAATAACTGATGCAACTTAACTCTATATTGTGACACATACTACTATGATTTGACCCACATAGCTATGATCTGTTTATATTTCAATAAAAATAACTAAAATTATTTCAGATTTCAAATAAATATATAATAGTAAACCATTTTTCTTGTGAACAGTTCAAAGTGTTTACTTTATAAAAATACAAGTCGGGATTCAATAATTAAAATAAAAACTCCAAATTGAGCAATATAACTTAAATGTTGACTGTGATGTGGTTTTAGATATATTTACAAACATAAACTAGATAAAAGAATTGCTCTTATTTTTGCAAAAGCAAACCAAATGTTGGCTCATATCATATTATTTCATTTTAAAGTTTATTAGGCTTATTAGATCTTTCTGCAGATCATATATATCTGACAATTTACTTATTTTCTATTTATATATCACCATCAGTTAAAACCCCAAATTTGTTATCAATATAACATTTGTTGATAGTTTTTAAAATGTATTTTTAATTATTACTTTATTCTTTCAGGATTTATATATCTATATATTTAAAGTATTGGCAGAATCTTGCAATGAGAAACTTTAAGATATATTAGTATAAATATAGCCTTATACTCTAACAAATTACCCTATATTTTACAACTGCTGTAAACTATATGAATATTTGCAAGGTAGTCATATACTATTATACAGAGAAAGTGAGTAGAGGCCGACTTTACGCTTCAGTGGTAAACAACCTTTTTTTTTTTTTTTTTTTTTTGAGACCAAGTCTCACTCTGTCACTAGGCTAGACTGCAGTAGCACCATCTTGGCACACCACAACCTCTGCCTCCTGGGTTCAAGCCATTCTCCTGCCTCAGTCTCCTGAGTAGCTGGGACTACAGGTGCCCACCACCACGCCCGGCTAATTTTTGTATTTTTAGAGAGACGGGGTTTCACCATGTTGGCCAGGATGGTCTTGATTTCTTGACCTCGTGATCTGCCCGCCTTGGCCTCCCAAAGTGTTGGGATTACAGGTGTGAGCCACCAGGCCTGGCCATAAACAACCTTTTAAAGGCCAAATCTCATTTGTTGTTTTTATTATCCAATATTTACAAAACTCTCTATAATCATTTTTACTGAAAATAAATATAATTCTTTGTATCTTCATCAGCTTCTACTTTCAACTAATCTCTGGCCAATAATATTTTACACTTCTACATAGTAGTCTTAAGTCTATACTTGCCAGAAGTAGCAAGAAAATTACTACATTGGGTAGAAACCCGATAATCTGTAAAATAAGCCAGTCACCAATTTTAAGTAATACCAGTCTATATTACTCTTTAAGTCCTAAATCAAGCAATTACTAGGTATATATTAATATAAAATATTGAGTTATATGTAATGAAGAAATAAAAAGAATATTATTCTCCTTACAGAGAAAACCTGGCCATTTGTTTACCTTAAAGAAATAGAGATATGACTAAAGATTTATGTAAAAGGAAGTTCATTAGAGCATCATTATTATTAAACAGTATTATTTATAAAACTGAAAAAAAATACATTGTGGCAGCAGAATATCTATCCTCAAAGCTATCGGTGTCCTACTTCCCTAAATATGTGATATGTTACTTTACCTGGCAAAGGGAAAGTAAGGTTGCAGATAGAATTAAATGTTGCTCATCAATTGACCTTGAGACAGGGAGATTATTCTGGATTGTTCAGGTGGGCCTAATATAAGCATGAGAGTCTTAATAGTAGAAGACGGAGGCAGAAGTAAATCTATCTGACCTCTGTCAGATTTCTGACATACTAGACTGTAAGATAATTTGTGGGATTTTTTTCATTTTTAAGGTTTTCTTTTATTTTTAATTGATACATAACTGTATATATGTATTGAAACATCACGTTGTACTCCATAAATATGTACAGTTATTACATATCAATTAAATTTGAGGTAATTTGCAGCAGCTGTAGAAAACCAATACATATACTGAGACCCTATGTTATGGGACTGATTAAACAAATTATGGCTGACCCATACAATAAATTCTATACAGCTATGAAAAATGTTTTAAAATAATATGAGAAAATAGAACTACTCTGATATTAAGTAAAAACCTTACAAAGTGGTACATATTACATAATTTTAATTCTGTTAAGTCAAAGTATACATACATGATGCAAAGTGAAATGTCATCTCTGGGGTAAGATTATGAATAATTTTATTTCTTCATACTCTTTCATATTTAAACAATGAATCTTATATATAGTTTAAAAACAGCAAGTGGCAATAGAAAAATTCTGGACACCTAAATCACTAAGAATCTCTCAAAGTTTCAAATATACCTTTTTTTTTTTAACATTTAATTTTGAGGATGCATCTAGGATGCTTGTCCTCTGGGAAACCTTCACCAGCTCTGCCCCAGTCTCTCCATCATTATTTCCAACCTTCTGCTGAGCTCTGCCTCTGCCCTGTGACTACCATTCTATAGCATCTCTGCACTGTGTGATAACTGCTTCTTTACTTTCCTGACTCCTCCACTGAACTCTCAGCAACTGGAGGAGGGACCCGCACTGTTTCACTCCTCATTGCCTATTCCTATCCTTTCACAGAGGAGAAAACATTATCTTACATTCTTGTCTCCTCAGTAAATATCATGAATACTTTAAGCCAAAAAAGATTGGAGGCTTGTGATTTATCTTAAGAAAGCATATGAAAATCTGTAATATATTTACTCAACTCTATTGTTTCTTTAGTAAATAAATTCTAGGAGTCGTGAAATGCATTGCTTCCTGAGTTCGACAGTGAAGATTAAGGCAGGAACTTGGAAATAATGAGTATCATTTTCTGCAGCCTATTACTGCTGACAATCCTTAAGGTATGTATTACTATTGCAATTTTACATATTAGAAACCTGGTGGCTCAGAGAAGTTATGAACATGCCTTAGGTTAGTGACAGGAATAGGCTCAGATCAGGGCTCAGTCCCCTAAATCACATTGCTGCTAAAATCTAAACAGGCTCAACATTTATCTACAGTCTTTTCCAGGCATTCAGCTGAGAACATCTATCTTTACTGTGAAATAACAATTTTTTAAAGTGGTTTGATCATTATTATTAGTTGTCTATGGTTTTTCTAAAAAAATTATTGATACCATAGGAGGAGAATAATCCTATTTTGGGAAATATGGTTATCTGAACGATTTTTTTACTAGGTTTAATCAAGTCTATTAATTCATACATTAATTCTACTCTCCTATAAAGAAGAGAAGATCTATTAGGTAATTTCTGGCCTTAAAAGTTTGCAAATTACCAAAAAGCATTCATTCTACTGCAGTTTACATTCCCACTTCTGCTCCACATAGCATGCTACTTACATTGTAAGTAATAAAAAGAGCTTGAGCAGAGAAGCAGCCATAGCTATATTTCTGTAATTAATAAGGCTGCCTCTTACCCTTGTCTATCTCATTAATCTGCCTGTCTTGCAGCAAGCTGGCAAGGCCACCTTTCCTCACCCTTTCAGCTTGTTTGGGTCACAGGAACAGCTGAGCTGACTTGTGTGTGTGTGTGTTTCTTTATTTCTCCCCAGGGAGATTCTTGGAACTGTCTGGCCCGGCCACAGGACCTACTGTTGGCATGGTACTACAACAGATCTCACTGGATGAGTGATAGACTGCTTATGATTTTATCATTGTGACTTGATCTGTGCAACTACTGACGCTTAACCGAACTTTAGTCAAAAGATTTTTTTTTAAACTACTGTAATCTTAATTTTTAATTTCACTGCTTTCTTGGTTTTGACCAATAAATTGGGTGCATTAAACAATAAACTTATTTCTTCAAACAGATTCTTATGAATCTGCCACACAACTACAGAAAATAGCAATTAATAAATATAAATAGTAGCCTGGACAATTAATACAGTACTAGTCAATTTTCTTTAAAAATAAACAATATCAAATTTGTTCCAAAGTAGTGACAGAAAAGCCCTCTGCAACACAGGTAAAAAAAATTTCTCCTAGAATGAGGATATTGACAGAAGATGAAAAGTAAATAAGGAAAAACAACCAAAGTCATATTATATTTTCCATCTTTTTCTCAATAAAGCAAAATTGTAGAGCTTTAACACTGTCATGTTAGCAAAGAAAAAAAGCAAATCCTGATGTTTATATTAATTTATCAAACCATATAATCAGAAATAAAATTTAAAAAATTTTTTGATGTTACAATTTGCTTTAAGCTACTCTAAATTCAATTAAGATATTTTCACATTATTAAGAAGGAAACCATGATAATTTAGTATTTGCATATTTCCTATTGAGAAAACTAATCCACAAGTATTAAATGAAAAAACCCAATGAGAGTTATCAAAAATAAGAAAGCAACAACATATTCAGTCATTTAAATTAGATTGGCCAATTTTCTAGAAAAATGCTTAGCAACATTCTAAATGAATACTTGGGATTTTTCAATAATTTTATCTATGTCTATTTTATAGAAAACAAAACATTCCTTTATAGTTTTATAGCTCTTTTCTTTTCTTTTGAGATGGAGTCTCACTCTGTCGCCCAGGCTGGAGCACAGTGGTGCAATCTCAGCTGGCTGCAACCTCCGCCTCCCAGGTTCAAGCAATTCTCCTGCCTCAGCCTCCCGACTGGCTGGGACTACAGGTGCGTGCCACCACACCCAGCTAATTTTTGTATTCTTAGTAGAGACGAGGTTTCACCATGTTGGCCAGGCTGGTCTCAAACTCCTGACCTCAGGTGATCTGCCCGCCTTGGTCTCCCAAAGTGCTGGAATTACAGGCATGGAGCCACCACGCCAGGCCTACCGCTCTTTTCTAATAAGAGTAAAATCCATGGTTAATTTAAAAGTAAGATAAAAGTTAAATTCTAACTAGAAAAACTGATCTTTTATGCAATAAAGATTATGTGCTTTTTCTGGAGTGTGTGTGTCCTGGTCTTAGTTTCTTCATTTTCAAGTTATTCATTAACTAAATTGAAAAGAAATACATTTTCTGCAATTTACTTTAAGCCCACAAAATAATATCCTCAGATTCTGTTAATAAGTGAAAATGTAAGCTTTCAATTTTTGAATTCACAATCCATATGAAATTGAAAAAGTAAATCCATTATTTTTATTGAACAATAAATTAACTTTCACAATTAACGTGTTAGTAGGAAGTAACACAGATGCTGAAAAAATGGTGAGATGTACAATATGTCAAAAAGCTAGACAATATACCTTTAAATGTGTAGTACATTTGATAGGCAGTTAGTACATTAATGTTCAATACATTTTAATAAATGTTTTTGCAAACATTTAGTAAACATGGCCATACCAGCATTCTCCTATAGTGCCACGTCACTAGGGCTTTGCAAAAAGTAACAGCTCAATGAACTAAATTGAAAATGGACTCTGCAAACTTTCAAGTGTCTTCAAGTTGTCCTTAGTAAGTAACATGACTATCTTAGCTTTTGAGTTAAAGTTTTATTTGGCTTTATGTTGCTTAATTCTAATTCACTGAGCACTGGTTATCCACATATTGAATCTGATTAGTAGAACATTTGTGAATATGATGATTAAAAGTAGAATATCACAACAATATTTTTCTTAAACTTATTATTTCACCCATAATGAACATTCAGATAAGTGAACCCCTAATACCTTTAATAAAAGGACTTACTCAATATAAAGAGAATAACAAACAGGGATAAAATTAGCCTTCAAGTCTGAAATAATTTGTCCTCCTGCTGAATTGATTTAGCTTGCATACTGAAGTGGTTAAACCCAGACTAAAATACAAGACAGACTAAAATTTCTAACACTGAAATGATTACAAGGGAAAATAAAATTAAACTGATCTATTTGGGCTAATGTATATCTTTTTTAGGTCAGGGCCAACAGCTAAAGCAGATATGATCAATCATTAAGTTCAAAGTCAATCCAAAAGGCTAGGTTCATTGGTAAATACCGGCTTTGGCTGGCAGCACAAGAATATAACAGATGTAAAGATTAGGGAATAAAGCAGGGAGATGCAAGAAAGATAAAGAGAGGGAAAGAAAGCAAAAAGTCAAAGAAAAAAGGGAGAAAAGAAAAAAAGAAGAAATGGATATGAAACCATCGGATGCTTACAAGAATTGTCTTTAATTAATGCTACAAGGAAAACTGGCTAGGAGAACCCTCATCTGTGCTTAAGAAGCATCATGGACCATGACCAAATCATCCTGCAAGGGAAGAGATAGAATCATAACCAACGGCAGTGGAACTTTTTGTTTTTGAGATGGGGTCTCACTATGTTGTCCAGGCTGGTCTTGAACTTCTTGGCCCCAGTGATTGTCCCACCTCAGCCTCCCAAGTACCTGGGACTACAGGTGCATATCACTGTGCCCAGCCAGAACCCTGAGTAACAAGTAGTGGGTCTGTTACTCCTAAATGTACCTCAGGATGTAACTAAACTGAATAAGTCATTTAAAAAAAGGCCGAGGCGGGCGGATCATGAGGACAGGAGATTGAGACCATCCTGGCTAATACGGGGAAATCCCGTCTCTACTAAAAATACAAAAAATTAGCCGGGCTTGGTGGCAGGCACCTGTAGTCCCAGCTACTTGGCAGGCTGAGGCAGGAGAATGGCCTGAACCTGGGAGGTGGAGCTTGCAGTGAGCCGAGATCGTGCCACTGCACTCCAGCCTGGGCGACAGAGCGAGACTCTGTCTCAAAAAAAAAAAAAAAAAAAAAAAATTATATATATATATATATATATATATATATATATATATACACACACACACACACGTGTATATGTATATGTGTATATATATGTGTATATACGTATATACACATATATACGTACACACATATGTATATGCGTGTATACGTACACACATATGTATATGCGTGTATACGTACACACATATGTATATGCGTGTATACGTACACACATATGTATATGCGTGTATACGTACACACATGTATATGCGTGTATACGTACACACATGTATATGCGTGTATACGTACACACATGTATATGCGTGTATACGTACACACATGTATATGCGTGTATATGCACACACATATGTATATGCGTGTATATGCACACACATATGTATATGCGTGTATATGCACACACATATGTATATGTATGCATATATGTGTATATGTGTATATATACATGCGTATATGTGTATATATACATGTGTATATGTATACATACATTCATATATGTGTATATATACATGTGTATATGTATACATACATGCATATGTTTATATACGCATGTATATATGCATACATATATGTATACACGTGTACATATATGTATACACGTGTATACATATATGAATGCATACATATATGTATACACGTGTACCTATATATGTATACACGTGTATACATATATGAATATGTATATATGTATATATGTGTATGTATACATGTATATACGTATACATATATGCATATGTGTATATATGTATACATGTATGTATATGTGTGTATATATGTATACATGTATGTATATGTGTGTATATATGTATACATATATGTATGTATATGTGTATATATGTATACATATATGTATGTATATGTGTATATATGTATACATATATGTATGTATATGTGTATATATGTATACATATATGTATGTATATGTGTATATATGTATACATATATGTATATGTGTGTATATATGTATACATATATGTATATGTGTATATATGTACACATATATGTATGTACATGTGTGTATACATGTATACATGTATGTATGTATGTGTGTATACATGTATACATATATGTATGTATGTGTGTATATATGTATACATATATGTATGTATATGTGTTTATATGTAAATTACATATAACTTCTGGAAGAAAACAACACTGCTCAATGAAGTTTAAATATTAATATCCCTCGTTATCTGCAATTTAAGACTTCAAGTATTTTATAGTATACCCTAATAAAACATCTTGCAGTTTCTATTATATTTTTCACATAATCAAAAGGTTATAAAAGTTGCATATATTTAAGTGAGAAACTAATCATTCTGTCAATAGTGTGACAAAATATGTACAATTTTTATAGCTAGAATCAAGTTACATGTATAGTGAAAACACGTGTCCTTTTCCCATTTAGTGGAATTTGAACTTCCCAGAGAATGAAGTAGAAATGTAATAATATGGCTTCACTTCTCTAACTTTTAACCAGGGAGGTGAGGGGTTTAGTAAAAGAAAAAACACTGAGGAAGAGACCAACAAGTTCTAACCCTTAGTTCAATGCTTATTTTCCTGAGAACAAACTAGTTGATGGTTATTTCTAGTTGATAGTTCTTTCTTTATCATTGTTCCTGTGAATTAAGAAACTTCTAGAATAAGAGATTTATTCTGCCTTCTGGTTAATTTTTCTAGGACTCAATCTTTCCATCCATGAAAAAAGAGGATTTTGAGTTGAAACCTACATGACTAGCACATGTTAAAACACATTAGGTCAAACAGTTTAAAAGAACGTGGTTATGCTGTTGCAAGCCTGCACAGACTATCTGAAAGATAAGCTCAAGCAGAGCTCCATATTTTGAAATCTCACTACCCCTTCTTTAACAGACAGCTGTCATAACAATTCCCAACTGCCTACCCCAAGCATGCAGAAAAAAGATGCAGCTATTCCACTGCTATAAGTAGGATGCAGATGTTTCAATGTTTCTACAGGGAATTGTTATTGGACTACAACTTCTAATTCAAAGGTTAGGCACCACTGTGTAATCGATCCCTGTGTGGGGATGGAAATGTTTTTTATCTGCTCTGTCCAATGTCCAATATGGCAGGAACCAACCACATGCAGCTCTTGAGCACTAGAAATATGGCTAGCATACTGAGAAGGTGAATTTTTTATTTTATTTAATTTCAGTGAATTTTCATTTAAATTTGCAATTAATTGGCCTAATGGAGTAATATCTTCACTGTAGAGAAACTTAGAAAACAAAAAATATTTTAAAAAATCATTTTCCTTCATTTACTTTTAATCATTACTTACATTTGTTTGAAGACTTTTTTCTATAATATTTTCATAAATCACAAAATGTATATGTGCATATTTAAACTGAATACATAAAAATACAATATATAAGACATTTTTATGTAGATCTATGAAATATAAGAATTTTGAATTCTTCTACAATAATACATGTAAGTTTATTATATGCTTGGCACATAATAAACACTTAAGAGATGTTATCAGTTATTATTAATCATAACAATTATTTTTAATGACTGAATAGTACATCATTATATTGAGGAGGCTTTAGCAAACAATCCGTTGTTGGGAATATAATTTTTGTTCTTATTTAAAGCCTTCTGGTGAACATACATGTACAGCTTTCCATTTGTAGAAGTATTCCCTTAGGATAAATTTCTAGAAGTAAATATGATGGGTTTAATGTCTCTTTTTAAGACTATAGATACCTATTATCAAATTACTGCACAGAAAAGAACCAATGAAAAGAAGAAACTCTTTCGAAAATATAAGACAAGCCTTATACACCCACATGCCCAAAACATTAGGGTGAAGCATGGATGGTGATGAATATGATACAATGGGAATGTTTAGGTTCTACAAATCTCATGCTAGAAAATCCTTGATTTACCTGTAAAGTAAAATAACCAGTGTTTGTGTGTCCATTTGGAGAATGACATACCATATTCTGCCACTCAGTAGTTCTATAGTAGCCACGCTTTTCCCCCCTCTATCATTGAACAGATTACTATTCCTTCAGCTAAACACCAGGCAAAATAGCTGGCTTGTCTTTAGGGACATTTTTATTGTAACATCTGTGTCTTCAAATTGAAGAATCAGACTCAAGTTAGCCTGATACTCACACTATGAGAGACATACAAGGCATTGAGACCTTATGAGAAAACTGCAGATTGCAATCTCCCATTTGACTGCTCAATCTGGGGCATGTGTTCATGGAATGGAACCAGAGTCACCCACACTACTTACATCTCTCTCAATTATTCTCTCACAGCATGAACAAATTAAATGTGCAAATGGGGTAACTTCACACATTTTGGATGTTTAAATAGGATATTTAGCATGTTCTTCACCCTTGTATATAAAATGGAAAATGGAAGAAAAAGGAAAGGAGAGAAGGAAAAGAAGAGTGATCTAAAATTCTCTTTTTTCGTTGTGTCTCTGCCTGGCTTTGGTATCAGGATGATGCTGGCCTCATAAAATGAGTTAGGGAGGATTCCCTCTTTTTCTATTGATTGGAATAGTTTCAGAAGGAATGGTACCAGTTCCTCCTTGTACCTCTGGTAGAATTCGGCTGTGAATCCATCTGGTCCTGGACTCTTTTTGGTTGGTAAGCTATTGATTATTGCCACAATTTCAGAGCCTGTTATTGGTCTATTCAGAGATTGAACTTCTTCCTGGTTTAGTCTTGGGAGGGTGTATGTGTCGAGGAATTTATCCATTTCTTCTAGATTTTCTAGTTTATTTGCGTAGAGGTGTTTGCAGTATTCTCTGATGGTAGTTTGTATTTCTGTGGGATTGGTGGTGATATCCCCTTTATCATTTTTATTGCATCTATTTGATTCTCCTCTCTTTTCTTCTTTATTAGTCTTGCTAGCGGTCTATCAATTTTGCTGATCCTTTCAAAAAACCAGCTCCTGGATTCATTAACTTTTTAAAGGGTTTTTTGTGTCTCTATTTCCTTCAGTTCTGCTCTGATTTTAGTTATTTCTTGCCCTCTGCTAGCTTTTGAATGTGTTTGCTCTTGCTTTTCTAGTTCTTTCAATTGTGATGTTAGGGTGTCAATTTTGGATCTTTCCTGCTTTCTCTTGTGGGCTTTTAGTGCTATAAATTTCCCTCTACACACTGCTTTGAATGTGTCCCAGAGATTCTGGTATGTTGTGTCTTTGTTCTCGTTGGTTTCAAAGAACATCTTTATTTCTGCCTTCATTTATTTATGTACCCAGTAGTCATTCAGGAGCAGGTTGTTCAGTTTCCATGTAGTTGAGCAGTTTTGAGTGAGTTTCTTAATCCTGAGCTCTAGTTTGATTGCACTGTGGTCTGAGAGACAGTTTGTTATAATTTCTGTTCTTTTACATTTGCTGAGGAGAGCTTTCCTTCCAACTATGTGGTCAATTTTGGAATAGGTGTGGGGTGGTGCTGAAAAAAATACTGGCAAACCGAATCCAGCAGCACATCAAAAAGCTTATCCACCATGATCAAGTGGGCTTCATCCCTGGGATGCAAGGCTGGTTCATTATATGCAAATCAATAAATGTAATCCAGCATATAAACAGAACCAAAGACAAAAACCACATGATTATCTCAATAGAGGCAGAAAAGGCCTTTGACCAAATTCAACAACCCTTCAGGCTAAAAACTCTCAGTAAATTAGGTATTGATGGGACGTATCTCAAAATAATAAGAGCTATCTATGACAACCCCACAGCCAATATCATACTGAATGGGCAAAAACTGGAAGCATTCCCTTTGAAAACTGGCACAAGACAGGGATGCCCTCTCTCACCACTCCTATTCAACATAGTGTTGGAAGTTCTGGCCAGGGCGATTAGGCAGAAAGAAATAAAGGGGATTATATTAGGAAAAGAGGAAGTCAAATTGTCCCTGTTTGCAGATGACATGATCGTATATCTAGAAAACCCCATCGTCTCAGCCCAAAATCTCCTTAAGCTGATAAGCAACTTCAGCAAAGTCTCAGGATACAAAATCAATGTGCAAAAATCACAAGCATTCTTATACACCAATAACAGACAAACAGAGAGCCAAATCATGAGTGAACTCCTATTCACAATTGCTTCAAAGAGAATAAAATACCTAGGAATCCAACTTACAAGGGACGTGAAGGACCTCTTCAAGGAGAACCACAAACCACTGCTCAATGAAATAAAAGAGGATACAAACAAATGGAAGAACATTCCATGCTCATGGGTAGGAAGAATCAATATTGTGAAAATGGCCATACTGCCCAAGGTAATTTATAGATTCAATGCCATCCCCATCAGGCTACCAATGACTTTCTTCACAGAATTGGAAAAAACTACTTTAAAGTTCATATGCAACCAAAAAAGATCCCGCATCGCCAAGTCAATCCTAAGCCAAAAGAACAAAGCTGGAGGCATCACGCTACCTGACTTCAAACTATACCACAAGGCAACAGTAACCAAAACAGCATGGTACCGGTACCAAAACAGAGATATAGATCAATGGAACTGAACAGAGCCCTCAGAAATAACACTGCATATCTACAACCATCTGATCTTTGACAAACCTGAGAAAAACAAGCAATGGGGAAAGGATTCCCTATTTAATAAATGGTGTGGGGAAAACTGGCTAGCCATATGTAGAAAGCTGAAACTGGATCCCTTCCTTACACCTTATACAAAGAAATTAATTCAAGATGGATTAAAGACTTAAACGTTAGACCTGAAACCATAAAAACCCTAGAAGAAAACCTAGGCAATACCATTCAGGACATAGGCATGGGCAAGGACCTCATGTCTAAAACACCAAAAGTAATGGCAACAAAAGCCAAAATTGACAAATGGGATCTAATTAAACTAAAGAGCTTCTGCACAGCAAAAGAAACTACCATCAGAGTGAACAGACAACCTACAACATGGGAGAAAATTTTCGCAACCTACTCATCTGACAAAGGGCTAATATCCAGAATCTACAATGAACTCAAACAAATTTACAAGAAAAAAACAAACAACCCCATCAAAAAGTGGGCAAAGGACATGAACAGACACTTCTCAAAAGAAGACATTTATGCAGCCAAAAAACACATGAAAAAATGCTCATCATCACTGGCCATCAGAGAAATGCAAATCAAAACCACAATGAGATACCATCTCACACCAGTTAGAATGGCAATCATTAAAAAGTCAGGAAACAACAGGTGCTGGAGAGGATGTGGAGAAATAGGAACACTTTGACACTGTTGGTGGGACTGTAAACTAGTTCAACCATTGTGGAAGTCAGTGTGGCGATTCCTCAGGGATCTAGAACTAGAAATACCATTTGACCCAGCCATCCCATTACTGGGTATATACCCAAAGGACTATAAATCATGCTGCTATAAAGACACATGCACACGTATGTTTATTGCGGCATTATTCCCAATAGCAAAGACTTGGAACCAACCAAAATGTCCATCAATGATAGACTGGATTAAGAAAATGTGGCACATATACACCATGGAATACTATGCAGCCAGAAAAAAGGATGAGTTCATGTCCTTTGTAGGGACATGGATGAAATTGGAAACCATCATTCTCAGCAAAGTATCGCAAGGACAAAAAACCAAACACCGCATGTTCTCACTCATAGGTGGGAATTGAACAATGAGAACACATGGACACAGGAATGAGAACATCACACTCTGGGGACTGTTGTGGGGTGGGGTGGGGGGAGGGATAGCATTAGGAGATATACCTAATGCTAAATGACGAATTAATGGGTGCAGCACACCAGCATGGCACATGTATACATATGTAACTAACCTGCACATTGTGCAAATGTACCCTAAAAATTAAAGTATAATAATAATAAAATAAAAATTAAAAAAAAGAAGAGTGAAAAGATATGTACATACACATGAAGAGAACTATTTTTAAACTTGAAATGTGTCTTCTCTCCCTATCAGTGTGCAATGTTATTTCAATACTCAGTTCATACTTCTTGTAATAAATTAAACAGTGGCATATCTCTGATATACACCATGGAAGATCTCATGTTTTTAAGCACTACCAGGTGTACTAAAAATAAAATCACAAATGAGAAGAAATTATCTTGTCCTCACAAAAGTGAAATCTAGAAAAAGATGTGTCTAAAGTAGTTTGAACATTTCAGTGGTAAAGGCTAACTTTTTCTTTTTGCACTGCCTTATAACTAAAATATCCCAAATGCGTCACCTTCATTTACCTTTAGACACTAAGATTAAAAAAAGATATAATGGGATTTAAATAATTTTATATTTACATAGTTTATATAGTTTTAGTTATCTACTATGAATGAGGTGAGTGGCATAGCAGTCTCACATTCAAACTCAAAGAAATAAGCAACCAGGAAATAAATTCTCTTAAGAAGTCATTACCTTATTCCTTATTGAGTTGCATCTTATTCCCTGTTGAGTTGCACACAAACTGTTGACTACGTTCCAGGAAATGTTTGTTCATAAAAAGCTAATCTCCTTTCTTCAAGGTGATGGAAAGTTAAATTACTGTGCTCAGGAGATGAGTAATATGAGTATGACTCAGAATTAAAAGGCCATAGGAACATCGTAATAATGAGTCCAATTAGTGAGTCTAGATAGGAAAACAAGGCTGAAATCTAAATTGGTCTGATAGGCATAGGCCTAATCATACAGAAAATCTGAATAGCATTATGAACCTGAATATTACATCTATCCTATGAATTTAGATACAGGACTTCACTGGAATACAAAAAGAGGATTTCAGAAATGGGCACTAATCTATGTATGGGGTACTTTAATCAAAATGCTATATCTGACAGATTAGCTATTTCAGGAAGCATTTTTCCAAAAGGTGTACAAACATTGAAGACATATTCATAAAATTTATCAGGTAAACTAGTGATTCTTACTTGATAGGGGTAATGGGAGTAGTAAACATCTGCTGTGATTCTGGCCCCCCAGTATCTCTTTACTCAACTTCTGAAAAATGCCATTCTAGGCCCTGTGTTTTTGGGAAGAGTGAGGGAAGCTCATGACAAGATTCTGGGGTCCCTCCGTATGTGGTACAGAGGTAGGTACGTGGCAAAAACCAAACTCATGAGTTCTAGTTTTCAACTCTGGCTTTTCCCTCTTGGAGGGAAAATGTGAGCCTAGGGCTTCTACAGGCATCTTCTGATAACAAGGATATATATAACCAGCAAAGAAGCAGCAGGCCCCAGAAATGGAGACATCATTTGAGCTGTGCATCCAACTGAAGCAAGCTCTATTCCTAGATTGTTCAGTTATGAGAATCAAATAATTCCCATTTAGCTTAAGTTTTCTATCACTCAAAACTAATGGGTAGGAAAAGAAGGAAGATTGAGTGGCCTCTTATATTTACTGGGGACGTGATGAAGCAGCCTATCAAACTGGACTGATATCCCTTGGAGTCTCATATTTGGACTAAAGAACAACAGACAGGATACTGCTATTTATCAGATTTCCTGCAGCTACCTAACAGCTTGCAATCTAGATTCTGTCTGTGTCGGAGGTGCCCAAGACCACCCTCAGTCTTACTGATTATACACAGGAAAAGAACACAGAGCAAAGGTCACAGGTTCAGGTGGTGAAGTTGAGGAAGCCAAGCCCAAGCTTCCAAGGGTTTCTACCATTGGGTTACACAGGATGCACTTCTTTCTTTAGCAATAATTTGTGGCAAGAAATGTTGTTTACCAGGGAAGTTCATTAAAGATTCAGTGCCCAGGGTTTTTACTGGGGGCTAGTCGTAGAAGCACCTTCTGCCCAGCATGTAGCCAAATGGAAGGCAGATGTTCAGCAGAAACCACATTGTAGTTTAGACACAGTGAACCACTCTTGCCATTTAGGAAAAGTTTTATATCAGTGTAGGAAACTGTTGATTATTCAGTTCTCAAACTCCAGGCAAAAGCAAACCTTGTGAGCAGGTCTTTCTAAGGACAGTAGTCCCAGGCCTGCCATGTTAACTGTTTTCTGCATATTGCCTTTCTTATGGTATACTTCAAGACCTTAACTTAGGACACTCTCTCTTTCATATGCCAACTGCCACTTGCCACCTTCCATGGAGAAAGCTCTTGTTTACTGGACTGGATATCCACACAGATGTTGCAGATGAGTTTAATGTCCTATCACGTGCCTTCTTCTCATGGAAGACAGAGCTCATTTCAGGTTCCAGCCTGTCCTTATATGCCCTGCTTTGCTGCAACCAAGTAAACTAGACTACAAGCCACAGGGGAACTAGAAAATGTTCTATTTATTTTAATATCTGGACTTCTAAGTGCATGCTACTTCTTTAGTGCATATTTGTTGAATGAATACCTATATCCCAAGATGGAAATGTGCCCTGCCCCTGGATGAACAGGTCTTCTGCATTGCCTCGTCATTGTGTAGCTGCTCCCTTGAACATGGTACATGCACACACACATAAGGCATGCCACTTTTTGATACAGACGTGCAGGCAAACTATCCCAATCTCAACTGTAGAATGGCTGCTTCAGTTGCTAGAGCTAAAACTAGTTTACTGCTTTAGTGACAAGCCACCAAATTAACTTGAAGAATGCACAAATATGCCCACAGAATGAGACTTCTGTTCATATGAACAATTTTAAAATCAGAATTTAAAAACCAGAGTAACTTGCTGGTCCTACTGTGAACAACTAAGAAAAATGCTTTGTTTTTATAATACTCTGAACACTGTACTAAAGAAAAGTGATGAGCATTTTGGTGGCTAGAAAATCTACCTAGAACACACCCTGCATTCATCATCTCTGTCTTGCTGCTCTGGCTGCTCTCCACAGATCCCAGATGTAATCTGCTCATAAACAGCCTGTAATACTGCTCATCCAAGCTGCACAGTGCGCTGTGGGCCTGGCAACCTTCCTCTGTGGGAAGCATGGCTGCAGATGACTAGCTGAAAATAAAACTAAACTCCAGGCTGAATGTATCATCATGATTTTAATTAAGTTTCTAGAAGAGTTGCTTCATTTTGTGGCATTTTTCTCTTTCTCATTTACAAATATGGTCTAAGAATACTACCTTTAAGTAAATAAGGCATTTTGAATCAAAGTACAGTAAATGTGTATGAGTGAATTTTCCTCATTATTAGTCTTGCAAATGCTGCTGATTTTAATATAGGATGCTATCCTTTAAGACATCTTATGTCTATAAACATTAATATTTTAAAACATGCTACAGAATCACACAGCTAGAGAAATCTCAGGAAGCAATCATGTATATCTTTTTAACCTAAAGAAAAAAGTCTGCCACAAATTGAAACAGGCCTTCAAAAGGTACTAGGCCTTTATTAAAATGCCCAGAAAAAAAAAAAAACTACACTTCTATGGATAACTTATTCTACTGTCTCTCACAGATGAGATGTCCTTTGAAAATTTTAACACCTCTTTAGCTGTGACTAAAAATTTCTGTCAGGTTACACTATATTTGGTATAAAAAGTATATTCCTAATTTTGTTTCCCTATTGAAATATAACAGCTGATTAAGAGGACTCTCATAATCTGTAAAACACCATAAATGCTAAAAACATGACAACTTTATCACGATAGACAAACTTGTTTGTAATAAAATTCACCTATGTTGGACAAAATCTAATTCTTGCAGATACAGAACTTTGAACTTTGTTTTCAACTGAGTTCATCTTAGCACAGCTTCCTATAGGTTTAATAATCCCAATTTTCAATTCTTGAAGTCAGTAATTCCAACTATCATTTATTAGGAAAGAAATTGAGGCTATGGGCAAATTACTACCTGAATTATTACCAAATCACTGTGTGAATAACTAGACAAGCTTGTAAACTAAATTTCATCAGAAGTCAGTCATTGTCAGTCCTCCTGCTGTTTATGGGGATTGCCTTGATATGCACATTTATATGTACACATGCATACCTACACACAATAGATATGAAAGTCACTAGATAACTTTCCCCAGTGTTATCCAGGGGAAAGTTACAGCATTTAACACACTTGTCCACTGAAATATGAAACTTGAAAAAAACAGTTTCAACTTGAAAGAAACAGTTTTAACTTGAAAGAAACCATTTTATTTCATCAGTTTCTGTGAAAGTTAAACCTAGTTTTCTGTCCTGCTGGGTCTATACTTGGTTGTATGTTTCCAGGCAACCAAAAGGATGAGGATGGGGTGGAGGCAGAAAATCTCAGTTGCATTATTCAGGCCATGTAAATATTAAATCAATTACTAAAATTCTTATTAAAGTGAGAGCTACTTAAATGTGGGGGATTCATAGGTCTTCTACGATTATTTTAAATTGAACGTTGATAAAGTGGAGATGGTGACAGTAACATTTTTGCCCAATATCCCTTGAAGTATGAAAACAGGCAAAACAATTATGAGGGAAGATAAAGTAAAAAAACTTTGTTTTGCAAGGTCCATTAGGAAGCAAAATATATTTTTATTTGATTCTTTTTATAAATAGAAAAATCAGTTGCTCCAATTTTTGTCTCTTAGATTTTTTCCAGTGTATATAGTGAGTTATTTATTAGAAGATACAATGCAAATTAACCCATAAATCAATTTATATAAGTAGAAGTTTGACTGTATTTACATGCTATCATATTCATGCTTAATTAGTTGTAGTTACTACATTTTAGTAATCCTTTGTAATTTTCTTTGTATTTCAAAATAACACACAAATCTTCTAAATAAGAAAGCCACTTATTAGCTCTTACAAGTAGAGATTTGTATTTAGTCTTTCAAATATTTTCACTTCCATGATAATCCACCCACATGCAAAATGATGAAAGAGAACATATATGTATTATTCATAGATGTAGTGAGCAAATTTAAATTGTTCATGCTGATTTTCCTAATTTTCTCAATGAAGAAAGAGAAAATATTTTTTGAGTTTACAAGCCAATCCATAATTTATAAGACTCCAAAAATCTTTTTGTGTAGCACTCAAGAAGAGTTTTCTACAGAAAAATGGACCTCAGTGCCCTAGGATTCCTACAAAACTCTATCAAAACCATAATGTACCTGATATATACTACTAATATAGAATCTGCCCATAATGTAGAGTGATGTTTTAATGGAAAAGTATGTTAAACGATGATCTAATTTTGAGTGTTAAGATTACAATTCCTCTACCCATAGATTACAATTCACCTACCCATTACTTTGGAAATAGAATGAGGTGCATCTCACCAACCATCCTCCTGCAGAAAGCCCTCTGACCTGTGAAACAGGAAGCTGTAAATGTCTGGAAAGTATGTGGATTGGACACATGTCTTGGATTAAATTATCTTACACGCCACTGGAATGAACCTGCCTGATTCTCCACTTTCTCTGCTTCATTCTGAGCGTTCTTGCCTCCCCTGGGTACTGGAAAGAGAATGGAGCCTTAGAATCAATGCTCCCAACCCACCCATTCTTTTTCCCGGCACTTTCCACCTTTACAACTACGCCTCCAAAAGTTTCAGTCTATTGCAGCTATGGTGGGAGCCACATAGGAACTTCTCAGGGATGCAAAATTCATGAACCACAATTCCCTGGCCAGAAGAACCACATAGACTTATCTATTACCAGGATCGGAGAGAGCGGGCCCCTTTCTTCCTAGATTTCACTTTTTCTCTTAATTTATTCTGACAATGAGGAGACAGAAAAAGCTGCATGATAGTGATGTAGAGTCTAATGGTGTATCTCTGGATACACAAAGAGCCATCTCAGGTAACAACTTTAATCCTTGAAATGAGACTATTATCTTCCTGTTAATTATTCCATTATTTCCTAATGTTTTTAATAATAAAACCCCCCAAACAACTACAAAGAGTTAGGAGCTTGCTCTGGGGTTATGAGTACAGAGACTGTTTTCTTCCTGTTAATTATTCCATTATTTCCTAATGTTTTTAATAATAAAACCCCCCAGACAACTACAGAGTTAGGAGCTTGCTCTGGTGTTATGAGTACAGAGGAAACTGTGTGGCTGCATTTTGTTCCTCAGAACCCGAGGAAAAAGAAATACCTGGAGCTGAAGCAATAGATTGTGTTAGTAGAGAAGGAGAGAAAGGAGAAGAAAGGCAAGGCGGGGAGGGGAGGGGAAGAAAGCCAGGATGTGGCTGAGGAGGATGAGGAGGGGCAGAGGTGAGATGAAAGTCATAAGGAAGAAACTAGGGATGCAAAAGTACCAGGATCCTGGTGTTAAGAGTTTGATGGTGGTAAGCTGGGTTTTCACTCTCACCCTTATATCCAGACCCACACTCTTCCTTACACCACAATTACTGTCAGGTCTTGAGCATAGAGGTAAGGTAAAAAGCAGGGTTTGGTATTTGGGAGGACCAGGAAAACAGACCTTGTATGAAAAGCATGAGGAAGATGGAAGGCAACTCTATGGGGCAATTCAGAACGGGCACTTAGCTGGTAATATGGCCTGAACAGTTATTGATACGTGAAGAATACAGACATATCAGAGATGGGCTATATCAGGATTTAAAAAATTAATAAGCATAAAGAAAGAGTTTTTTTTTACTTGATTATATTTAAAAGGGTATAATTTCATGGGAGCAGAGGCAAGTTGTGCTCACAAGGAATACAGTGACATATATGTATTTTTCATGTTTGGAAACCTCCAGGATAGAGATTAATAACAGTTGAAAAAATGAATATTTTGCATTCAATTTCCAAATAAAAATTAAATAATTACACTACAATTTTTCTATTATACACTGTTGTGAGGTCTAAATGTACAATACTTCCTAATCATATAATTCTTTTATAAGTCATTTCTTATTTCTAAATTCTATCTTAAATAGGCTTTCTTCTCTGAATCAGTTTTACAGGGTGAGGAGGATGACATTTACAATGGGACTAGCAAATTCACCAAATAACAAAATATGAACAGCTTGCATTTGTCAATAAGGTGGAAAAAAAAATCGCCATTCAATTTTTCTGGATTTGGTGCTCTTTGTTTTGCCTACCATGAATATTTCAGAAGAATATGTTCATCTTTAATTTATTGCCATAGTATTTCAGAACACTCATTAAATACATACAGACCTGTTATAAACATGTCCAGAGTTATCAAAACACAATGTTGGCTTTATGAATAAATGCAAGTCTTTATGTAGAAATGAAGATTCTGAAATAAGGTGAATGTGAAACAGCCTAAGCTGTGAAGTCATGGTAGTCAAGGGGATCTGATTTTTAATTTCAGCCCCCACTAAGTGTTCTGCACAGAATAATTTATTTAATCTAAGTTGTTTAAATGGTGCTAGTGAGACATATAGGATTTTACTGAGAATTAAACGAGAAACAGTAGGTAATTTGCAGTGTGGGAACTCAATGAGTTATCCGTTTTCTTTTCATTACTCTTCTTACAGTTTGTTTTTTTTTTTTTTTAAGAGAGTAAATAACATAGAGTGTGCCTCCCTGGATACACAGGTAATCCATAAATGTTCCCATTCAACTCCTAGTTCCGTGTTCCCAGGTGAAAGTAATAAATAAATCATAGATATCTTTTTTAAAAAAGTACTACAATTTTTACCTTTTTAAGAAGGGTCCTTAGATACATTAGTGTTATTTGACTCTCTCAACAGCCCTTAGAAGAAGAACTAGAACCCTGTCCCCTGCTTCCTCGTGCAGGACTATCTACTGTGTCATGTACAAACACATTTCCATCTTGAATAATCAAATGAAGCACAAACACCCTAGCAACCCTAGAAAGTGCTACTATTTATTATGACATGCATGTCCATCTTTAATAATGGCTGTATTTTAATAAATATATCTGTATCTTTATAACTTAACCATTTCTCTGAAGCAAAAGGTCTTTTCTTCTATACTTACAGATGATAAACTATGCATTGATGCTCTAACCACCTATGTGGTAAAGTTAATACTTGGAGAAAAGTCAAGGTTTTTTTTGAGGATATAACCATTGTCAAGCTGCCTATGTGTTATAGGTGAAGCTTTGATAAGTCTAAGGAATTTTTTTCAGATGTAACCATTGCCTGGCTTTAATATATGAATACATTTGGAATACTAATGGGCTTGCCTCCTGTTAGATGGATATTCTCTTCTGTTCTCTTGCATTCCATCTGTTATGGCAGAGGAAATCAACAGCCTTGGGAACCCACAGAAAAAGTGGACAGCTGCAGGACTCAGGTTCTAATTTCAAGAAGTTATGATTCACTAAGACTTTCTGATAGGAAAAGCATTCCCTACTACAACCAGAGGGGCTATGTATGACTATATGTGTGGTTTAATTAATTGGTTAGGCAAAGGGAGGATAACATGGCTAAAATTTTAAATTTTAGTCAGAAATGTAGGCCAGGTGTGGTAGCTCATGCCTGTGATCCCAGCACTTTGGGAGGGTGAGGCAGGTGGACCACGAAGTCAGGAGTTCAAGACCAGCCTGACCAATATGGTGAAACCCCGTCTCTACTAAAAATACCAAAAATTAGCCAGGTGTAGTGGCAGGTGCTTGTAATCCCAGCTATTCAGGAGGCTGAGGCAAGAGAATCGCTGGAACCTGGGAGGTGTAGGTTGCAGTGAGCCAAGATCGTGCCACTGCATTCTAGCCTGGGCAACAAGAGTGAAACTTCCTCTCAAAACAAAACAAACAAACAAAAATTAGGTCAGAAATGTTATCTCATCAATCTCTCAAGAGCTTAAGTTACTTTGCACTCTAATATGTGTTCCTGCTAGACACAGCATTTAACAGAGTGAACATGAAAATGTTGGCCTTGGCAAGAACACGACTATATTTATCTTAAAAAAAATGAGTTTTTAAAAATTAATACCCACGCTTTGCTTAAGTGAGCTGGCTTTGGAATACCACCAATGTCTTTTTCACTTAAGACTATTTTAAGTTCAACTATTTTGTTGTTTGGTCACTAAATGTAACGATTGTTTTTGTCACAGTCATGTATCTTATTTTGTTGTTTTAGGATACTGTAATCTCATCCTGTTGTCTATCTCTATGATAAACAGATTTAATACAAGTTAGAGAACAAAAGAAAAAAAGTGTCGGGGAATCATAAAAGGGGATTTAATACAGGCTTTACCCTTCCTTGGCTTTTGTTTCAGCCTGCAACTGACATTGCTTTCAATGTAAGTACAGTACCCCAAATTCACATTTTTCCCCTTATTTTTCTGAATGCATCAGGACAAAGTCTGTTTCCACTATCTTTTGCAGTGTTGGTGCCCTTCCCAGACATAGGCTCTGAGAAGTTTCTGAGTATCAAAGAAATTACTGACCACCAAACTAATAGGAAATATAAAATTAGGTTCCTTTAGCTGGAAATTCAATGAGCCAAAGACGGTGGGGGTATGTCTAAAAATTAGGAGAGAACAGACAGGGTAGGAAAGGAATTAGAATCAAAGAAGGTGAGCAAGACACATTGCCAGGATGCTTTCAGATGGACAGTATGGTTTGTTTATGTAGTAATCATTATGAGAGCTCCCTGAGCTTGCTTCTTCAGAAATTCAGGGCTGATTCTGACACTTACCACACAGCAGTCTCTTCTGACTCCCATGAGGGCTGGAAGTAGGTGCTGAACCAGATTTGGAACCAGGTAGAAATGGCCCAGGACCACCCTGATCCTCAGCTCCTCCACTCAGTTCCTTTTTCCCCACAATGATCAACCTTCCTAGGAATTCAATAGATATAATTTTCCAAAGGTTCTGATCATTTATAGGCTAACAGACCACATATATAATTGAGCTTCCTAGATGTTCTCTTTAAAATTAAGGATGTGCTTGATAATCATCTGTGAAAACTCTCTCAGCATTGACTGCCATTGGCATTCACATCCCATAATAATAGTAAATAATAATAATAATAT
Source organism: Homo sapiens (assembly GCF_000001405.40). Taxonomy (NCBI): domain Eukaryota; kingdom Metazoa; phylum Chordata; class Mammalia; order Primates; family Hominidae; genus Homo; species Homo sapiens. The sequence continues at coordinate 39,912,322 of NC_000012.12, forward strand.
ATTCTGTGAGGACTATCAATTCTGGACAAGAAGGAAAACTACCATGGGTAGTCGGATTACTTTCCCAGCCAAATCCCAGAGATACTACAAACAATATGGGATCTTGGCAGTTTTCAGAACCAAACTTAGCAAATAAAACAAACACTACAACTACAGCCAAGAAACCTTGGGGAAGCAGGAAGAAGTTATCCTAATATCCTAATATGGATAGAAAAGTTATAATCGAGGAAGATTCAGTAGCCACAGATTAGGGATGGATTGGGAAGAGCTCTCTAGTTGGCCTGTTTTTCTCTGAGTTGCCTAGTAAAAATATCACTTGCCCAGTTATTATAATGAGAAAGCAGCAGAACCTGTTCAGTGCCATCCAGAAACTACATGGCAATATCCTGGCAGCTCTGGAGCCCTGCCATAGTGTGGGGCCATTGCCAGGAACTGCTGATCTGGCCTCGAGTATCCTCTGCCCCTCCCTGCTGTGTCTTGTGTAAACGTTAGTAGGCAAAGATTTTTGTTGACTTTCTTTTCTCAGGTCTAGGACAAGTACGTGGCCTACATACAACATAGCCGTTGAACAAATGAGTAAAGAAACAGAATAGTTTTATATGTGACCACAGATTTATGGCGTAGGAAGAAGTACTAGTGGCTTCTTTGTCTTATAAAGTATATCACATAATGATGAGTCCTCTTTGAAAGATATCTTGAAAGATGTGTTCCAACAAGAAGAGAAGTGCATTCCAGAGAAAGCCAAGAGATAAGGTAACCAATGGAGAGTAAATACCTTAGTAAATTTATTGTTACCTGAGTAAGCAAAAAACATATAGAATGAAAACTCCAGATGATGCCAACATGAAAGAAAAAGAGATCATAGTAGAGGAGTGAGTTGAAAGACTACTGAGGTTTCTTATTGCAGGGGAAGACAGATTAACTTTTACACATTGGAAGAAAAAAACAAATGCAATGAATCTTAAGTTAGAGATAAGAGAACAATAGACCTTGTAACTTAAAAACAAAAAGTTTAAAATCTGAGTTGTCAACATGACAGAACATAGAAAAGATCGAAAAAATAAACAATAAAGTACGATGAATAAAAACTAAAATAAGATGGGAGAAATAAGCCTCCATACAATAATAAATACAATAAGCATATATTTTTCAAATTTAGTCATCAAAAGACTGATTTAGATTTGATTTACAAAAAAAAAAAATCTAGCATTAAATTGTCCACAAAAGACAAAGAAAGGTTGATGGAAGAGATGGACAAAAAATACATAAGTATTAACCAAATGAAATATTAAGTAGCAATTTAAATAGTACAGTAAGCAATTTCAGGAGAAAAGATACATAATTTGTTCATAAGAATAATATATTAATAAGATATAATACTAGTAAGTATACATACATGTGATATGTAACTACTAACTGACAGAAATGTGGGGAGAAACATATAATCTTTCATTAGAAATTGTAATACATCTTTTAGAAACGTATCAAGTAGAAAAAACTAAGCCAATATGAAAAGAATGTGAATGACACCAGTAACAATCTAAAATATATGTATATACAGTAAAAACTTTATCCAATAAATCTTACTCATTCCTTTCAAGAATATATGAATATTTTATGTATTAGACCACAAAGGACGTCTCAAAAAAGTCTCCAAAGAATCAACCTATGCAACCTCTAAGTAAAATTCAATACAATTTTAAATTAGTAATAAAAAGGAATCTAAAAGCATGTCAGGAAAAAAATAGTTAAATGAACTCACAGCTAAATAAAGTGGAACAAGCAAGAACTAGCAAGAAAAATGACAAAACACTGAAGAGCTGAATGACAGTGAGAGTTCTGCATGTCCGAGGCTGTGTGAGCTGCATCTAAAAGCAGTAGGGCATGATATAGAGATTTAAATAGATTTTTTCACGTCTAATGAAAGAATGAAAATAAGCAAGCTAAGGATTCTACTGAGAAATTAAAAAATGAATGTCTGCTTACAACAGTGGTGGAATAACAGGTATGAAATTTACCCTCTTACCTTAAACAATCAGAAAACCCAGTAAAACATGAGACAAAGGTTTTCAGACTTTGGACAATAAGGACAGAGAACTCTGAAAGAACGTAAAAATGAGGTGAGCTCTGCAAGTGCCATAGCAAATTTCCGGATTGTATCATACACAAGGAGAGGGAACTCAGAGTACTGGAGAGAAAATTAAAAGCCTAACCTGTTAAAGGGTGCAGAAGAATAAAGCTACAAGTTATAATCAAACCCATATATTAGGTTGGTGCAAAGGTAACTGTGGTTTTTGCCACTAAAAGTAATGGCAAAAACTGCAATTACTTTTGCACCAACCTAATATATATACATACTCATGATATGATACATTTGGTATATCAAACCAGTGGAAAATGATAGACTATTTATTAAGGAGTGATGGAAAAACGGACTCGCTGTGTAGAACTTGATTCTCTACCTAAGTCAGAAAAACATCGGAAAAATTTAATACCTGAATATATAAGATAAAACTATAAACTAATAGAAGGAAATGTACAAAAGTATCTTTACGACTTCAGTGAAAAGCAGAATTTATTAAAGATCTAAAATGCACGAATTATAATGGGAAAATTGTTGACTACATCAACAAAGGTCATCACAAAGTTAACAGGTTATAGACTTAGTTTCAGGAACAAAAGACTACAAAAGATTTATAAATATAATACATAAGACACATTTTCAATTTATCAAGAAAAGGTCAGGAAAACCAACAGAGAAATGACCAAAGCATATGGATAAAATGCAGCAGTTAAAAGAATTAAAAGTGCATATAGCAACCTAATAGTAAGGAGAAAAGTCAGTGGGACAAGATTTCTAGGATGATATTATAAAACAAAATTTATGAAAATAAGCATTTAGAAGAAGATATATATTAAATACATTACATTGTAACACTGTAATTACATTGCTAATATCAAATTTTCATAATTACATAGCTAATATCAAATTTTCAGTAATGTTAATCATATTGACAAGTGAGTTAACAGTGGCAGGAAAAGATTAAACGAAGCAATGTCAAGAGCACGGTTTAACTGGGTAGACAATAATGATGGTGCATAAAACAGCCATAGAAACACCCTCAGCAGGAGGTAAAATCCTTATGGGGCAAGATCAGATATCTGATTCAGTCACAAGACAATTCATGGCTGAGGAGTTAGAAGTATATAGAACCCTTTGGAAAGGAATCTTGTTTTGAAAAATTAGCCCATCGATTTTCAATGAGTAAAAGACTTGACATTTATTGTCATTGTTCACTGGAAACTTAAAAATAGCCAGTGATGACACAGGATTTTTTTTTTTAGTTAACATAGAAAGAAAGCACAAAAGTTTAGGGTTAAAAATATCAAGACCAAGCTGGTTCATCAAAGTGATGACTGAGGCCATCGCTGATTTAAAAATAACTGAGTAGTGCCAAATTTCACAAGTCCAAACATTAATCATAGGCATCATAAAAAAATTTGGAAACTAAGGAGTCTTTATGTCACATAAAGAGCTCAATGCCTGACATCATCACGACAAATCTCTGATTTACAGCATAATTTCTACAAAAAACTTAAAGAAATCAAGAAGGCTCGACCACTTACATTTATTCAAAAGACAAAGAATACCTCCAAATGCCTTTTACTCCTATTTCCAAGAATTTAATCATTCTAATAGGACAAATATCTGCCACCATTGAGAATATTCAAAAGAACTAGCCTTAGGAGTTGAAAAGCAGATTAAAAATTTTAATAACCAGCATCTTCAGAATGTTCCCAAATTGCTAAGGTGATTATAAAGGGGCAATATTATTAATAATTTTAGATGTTTAAATTACAGTATGGTTTTTAAGTTCCATGATGTCACAGATACACTCCAAGCAGAACAGGACATAATTAGAAAAAGACTGAACATAATCAGGTGCTAAAATGTATTGAATTTTTCCTTTGCTCTCAGTTGTCAGGAGGAAATTTTCTGAGAAATTAAAACCAGTATTGCTTCCCTTTAAAAACATAAAAAACATGTAGATCTCCCTGTTCACTGCTAAGGAAAGTAAAAGTGAAGAGTCAAAACTAATTTCCTTCTACTGCTAAAACCTTAATTCTGAATATGGAAGCCTTAGCTGCTAGTTTAATTATATAGACATGTATCCCAATACCACATACACTGGCATTCTAAGGTAAATAATATAAACAGTGAAGGTTAATTATTTTCTTTTTCGTGTTACGAGAAAAACACTTTTAAAATTAATCTCATTTTTGATAAATATTCCCTGGGAACACAGAGTTGTATAGCTCACCAGGCAGCTGAGTAGGCTTTGGCTCGCAACATCATTATATATTAAAAACATTTATCAAAAGCACAGTAATAACCTGACTTCTACAAAATTTAGAAGTCCTTGTGTTTAAGTAATTAGTAAACTTAGTATCTCTTGCCTTCCAAGTCGGTAGTCATTGTCTTGTGGAAGGATTATCATTTAAATAAAGTATAAACATAAGACAATTTGTTCTTCTCACTGGGTGTGCACAGGTACTAACAATTTCACCATCTTCCCAAACATATACGGTGGGGAAAACAGAGCTTCAGTCCTTCTCTACCTTAGGTGATCTCCTGAGACTATGAGAATGCTCTCCTGTAATTATACCAGCCCCTATTAAACAAGTCACAAATTCAATTGACAAATTTATTGAACACCTGCTATATATCATTCACTATGCTGGCAGCAAAACCAAACACGGTCCCTTTTCTCCAAAGGCAGGAGACACCCATCAATCAAATATGTGCAAACAAATCTAAAATTCAAATTTGATAAGGACTGCAGAGAAGCATTTGGAGCTTTGAGCACATGAACTAATGGGGTGTTCAGAAGAGTCTTCCCTGAGGAAGAGATGATGAAATAGTGTTCTTACAAGTTAGCTCAGGAAACAGGGAAAGGAACAACATTTATTCAGAAGAAATGGCATGTGCAAAAGCATGCGGTAGGAAAGAGGGTATTTAGAACCAAGACAAAAGCCAGTGTGGCTGAAAAGCAAAGGAGTCTCTGTAGGTAGTTCAGTGTGATGTGCTGACTTGGATGGGACAAAGTGTACCCATATTAAACATTGTTTCTGTGTGTGTCTGTCAGGGTGTTTCTGGGTGAAGTTAGCATCTGAATTTGTGGGCTCAGTAAGGTTGATTGCCCTCCATGGTGGGCATCATCAATACACTGAGGGCCTTAACAGAACAAAAGGTGAATGAAGCAAAATTTTGCCCCTCTTTTTTTCCTGCCTCATTGCTGGAGCTGAACATCTTATCTCCTCCTGCCCTGGGACTGGGATTTACATCCGTGGCCTTGTTTGCAGGTTTTCGGACTCAGTGAATTACACTGCTGACTCCTGGGTTTCCTGCTTTCAGATGGCAGACAGTGGGACTTCTCAGTCTCTATAATTGTGTGAGCCATTTCCCACATGTCAATCTTATTGGTTCTGTTTCTCTGAACAACCCTCATGAATATAACCTCTTCCTCTTCTCCTTTTCTCTTCTTATTCTCTGTTACTCAGTTTATTTCTATTATTCAGTTTATTATTTTCCTTCTTCCCTAATCTCAGCTTCCCGTTTCTCAATTATTCCAAAGATTTAAAAAAAAGGTAATTAACAAAAATGAAACAAAACAAAACTTGATTGACAATGAGGAAATGTGCATACAAACAATTAATTTAAACACTCACTGAGTACCTACTATGTGCAAAGTCATTAGGATTAAGAAACATGGTTGCTATCCTTGTACATCTAGATAATACTGACCAACCTTATAAGGCATTCTTCCCAAATTATGACATCCACATATCCAGGGCATAGGGATGTTCACACAGTCTGTAATTGTTGGTATTCACACCCAGAGGGTTACAACCTTTTCCTAGCAAGTATAAACCCCAAGAGTTAATATGGCACATCTTACTGGAGCTTTGATGTAACTAAATTTTTTTTGGGGGGTGGTGAACTAAAATAAGCATGAATGTATAACAGAACAGAAGTTTCCTTTTTTTTTTTTTTTCGGTACGAAACAAGAGTCTTTATGAAGAACTGCTTCAGGCAAGAGATCCAGGGAAATTTGTGATTCTTCACTACCATTACTGGCTCTTCCATGGAAAAGCATGAAAAGATCTGCTTGATAGGTTGAGAAGAAAACAAAACATGTTATAGGGTGAAAAAGAGTAGTTAGTATATCTGTGAAGTAAACTTATTCCTACTCAATCCACTTCCTGTGGGTAAATAATCTGACCTCCCAGAGAGCTGCTCAACATACAGCAAATCACTTGTGTAAAAGAAATATTCAATATTTTTACCATGCTTTCTATGTATACAAAATAGGATGGTGAGTGCACATGTATTCACAGTTTAAGAAAGGGTTAAATACAAAATTAGCTGGGCGTGGTGGCGCACGCCTATAGTTCCAGCTACTTGGGAGGCTGAGGCAGGAGATCATGCCACTGCACTCCAGCCTGGTGACAGAGTGAGACTCTGTCTCAAAAAAAAAAAAAAAGGGTTAAAAACCTTTTTGTTATAACCAGACTTGAAGTTTCCAGTTTCTAGATCATTTCAGGTTATACACGCGCACACACACACACACACACGTGTGTGTATACATATATCTATACATTTTTTTTTTAAGAGACAAGGTCTTGCTCTGTTGTCCAGGCTGGATGGAGTGCAGTGGTTCAATCATAGCTCCCTGCCACCTCCGTCTACTGGGCTCAAGTGATCCTCCCACCTCAGTCTCCCAAGTCACTGGGACTACACGCTTGTGTGCCACCACACCTGCATACATATATGTATACACTTGAACTCCTGGGCCTCGGTCTCCCAAAATGCTGGGATTCCTGGTGTGAGCCACTGTGCTCGGCCGATTATAAATATTGTAGCATGAAAGAATATAAACTGTATATGTGGTAAACATTCTTCTTGGCCAATGCTTAAGTAAAATACCTCTACTGATTTTTAAAAAACACAGTATCTCAATATTGAAAAGATAACTGTGTGATTATGGACAAGTTCTTTATAGATTGCAAAATAAAACACAAAGGTACACAGAGGTATGTTGTAAAATGAAAATAATCAAGATAAGTGGATACTTTTACCAATATATTTCATCCCACTTTTGTTTTTCAGAAAAGGTTACTCATACATTTAAGATTTCTCTATAATATCTAACATAGTAATTTAAAAAATCTGTCATCCCATGGGTTTTGAGGTATAGTTATAGTAAACATGTTCTGAGAATACTGTATAGTTAATATAATGATGTTTTAGACCAGTGTATAAAAGGTTCAAAGGGCTTGGATGGAAACACCCCCCAAACCCACCCCAAGGGGTACTGACAATATTTTATAACATTCATAAAATACCTATAATTTCATCTTTTCTAATAGTTGTATATTAAAGAAGGTTATCATTGTTTTAATAAGATTTTATTTATTTAAAGATAATTCCTCATCCAAGTCCAGATATTTTGTGACTGGATGATTAGGTAGCTAGGAATAGGCTGACAGTGCTTACCTCCGCATTCTTTCACATTCCCCAAAGCTATTATAGTAAATTCTTAAATGATTTTTTTTTGTAAACAACTCTTGGCACACCTTGATACACTTATTATCTCTGAGTAATATTTTAATCAGCTCTGTTACTTAGGAGTCCAGCTGTAAATTATTAGCAAACATCCTGGGTAGAAGTAATCCTGCCTGGCCTGTGCTCACCAAGGGAATTTACCTTCTTACATGCCTCATCATTCAAGACACATTCTAAGATGCTTCCACCCCACCACAATTAAAATTAAGCTTTTCCAATATTCAGAGTATGTATGTATATGTGTATGTGTGCATGTATTTTTTAACCTTTTTTCTATACTTACAGAATCAGCCATACCCTAAATATATGTGTGTATGTAATAAGAGACTGCGAATTTCCAAATATTAATTATCTCCAAGAAAACCTAGCACATTGTTCTGAACAACGTAGATGCCCAACCAAATGCTGGAAAAAACTGAGTTACTCAGGTTAATTATTGGCTTATAATATGGAACAGAGCAAATTCAGACTGAAGGGTTGGCTGGTGGCAGAGAGAACTGCAGCAGAGGTACCATTGTACTTTTCACTCTCTATCCTGATCAGAACTGGGTGCAAAGATGGAAACCGAATAGTATAGTAGAGCATATCCTGGTTCTTTCCTTCATGTAGCAAAGCATCTGGTCAGTGAACATTTATAGAGACTCTGTAGCGGAGTAGTTACAAGATCTGGGGTGAAGTCCGATGCTGAATCCCAATTATATCAATCACTAGCTCTAAGATCTCAGGCAAAATACTGCACTTTACCAAGTTCCAGCTTCTGTATCTATAAAACCAGCAGAGAAATCATATCAACCACATAAAGGTATTGTGAGGATTAAATACGTCCATCTGTGCATAGCATTCCGATGCATGCACATACCCACACACACCTGACTAGACCTTAGCTAGCCACAGAATGCCTGCTAAATGCCAGGACCTATGCCAAAAGCTAGCGACACATCATCAAAGGAACCCCATTCCTGCCCTCATTAGACAGTGTAACTAATAAGCAGACCTCCACAACTTCAGCACTATGCACATCAGCGCTGTGTGTAAAAAATTTGGCAAACAGACAAAGAGTAGTTCAAATACAGAAAACCACAAGCCCAAGAGAATACTGGGGGTAATTCTAAAATGTACAAACAAAATTGAAAATATAATTGATTGATTATGGTTTTATACATAGGGTTTCTAATTGCGTTATCTAGCACTAGGATTATCTATATAGAGCTGCAAGGGGGCAATTTCTGAGGGTAAGAATTACATTGTGTGCATGATCCCTGGTGTTTGCTTTGGGAGATTTGTTGGCTTTGAAGCGCATGCATGGTCTTCCTTCTGTTGCTAGAAAATGATGATCTTCAGTTACCAATACTAGGTTGGCGAGTCTTTCTAAAGCAGTCAGTTCCCCTTAATTCAAAGAATCCAGTGACAAAGAAAGGGAGCTCTCTCCTGCCCTGGCTGTCACATTTTACCCTGTTCAGGTACCTTCAGTGTGTTTAAGAGGATAGCAGGGTGGCCCGGCCATGCTTAAATGGAAACGTCATGGGAGCGTCCAGCACCTCTAACTGCCTGTATGTGAGTAAACTGTTTTCAAGCCATAGATATCACTGTTTAGACAGTCCATGATTGGTGAAGAACAAAACGTCCTCCAAAAGGTGTCAGTGCAAGGTATAAGTCATACCATATTTTTATGTTCTATTTTAAGTTGGCAACTCACAATTCTGATTTAGCCATGAGGCAGCATTTAAGCGAAAACTTAAGTTCAAGTAACCCTAACTGAGTATATCAGATATGCCAGTAATACTTGGATGTGTATTTTAAACATTTCTAGGGCAAAGGAAAATTAAATTACTACATTATAGTTTAGAATGTAATGTGCCAACATGACTAATTTGAATAATAGTCAACCTAATGTTGAAATCAACTTTTCAGTATGGTAAACCCACTTAATGTAAATATGGAAATAAATATTGCATATAAATCCAACAAAAGTGCTAATAAATTAAAAGATCAACCCAGAAGCATCAAGGTATGCAAGGTACATTAACAATTAGTTTCAGCTCTAGTGCTTATGTGATGTACCTACATTTGTAGGGTGACAGACATTTCTCAAATGTTTCAAATTTATGCGATTTATATTATGTATGTCTTAGTGTTCGTAGAGCCTACACTGCTAGAGGTGTACAAACACTTAAAAAAACCCAAAAAACCATTATTCTCTGTATCCACTGAAAAAATGAAACGCACAAAGAATCTCAGAAAACCATACTAAAGAGAATCTTTTTATTCCATTGATTTTGACAGGAGAATTTTTCATTGTCCAATATAATCTTTTCTGATGTAACATCTATTGTTTTCTACTCTTGTCCCTGTGGTTCCAGAAGATAACCCCCACCCTGCACCTTGTCTCCTAGGGTGAGCATATGGCCCAAGCCTAACCAATCAGGAGATCCACATCTGCCTAAAACAAAAAAGAGATTAGTATTTCATGTTGGTCTGTGTCCCAAGTCAGATCAATAAGGCACCAGTTTAAGAACTAAGACTCTGTCCTCTAACTATTATCTATCTTTTTAAGGGGTTCTTTCTGAAGTGACATGAAGGATAAACAGCTGAAAAATGGGAAAAGAGGTTGGGGAGAAACAAAGTCCTGATGACATCATTTAAGCCCTGGGGAATCAAGATATTCCTAGACTTTTTACTTATACAATACAATGACTTTTTGTGTGTGTATGGGGGTTTTTCCTTAAGTTAGCTTTCTGTCTTGCAAAACACAAAGGGTCAAGCCTATTGCATTTTACATTGCCAAACTTTTTTCTCTAGTATTTTCACTAAATACTGCCTCTATTTTAGATAAGCTAGTCTTACAAAACTAGCTTGCAAAACTTTGCAAAACTTGCAAAAGCTTGTCTTGCAAAACACAAAGGGTCAAGCCTATTGCATTTTACATTGCCAAACTTTTTTCTCTAGTATTTTCACCAAATACTGCCTCTATTTTAAATAAGCTAGTCTTATCACTGTCCTCAAAAATTGAAAGAAAAAATGAAGAATAATTGAAAACAGTGATTCAAGCAAATACTTCTATACTAATGATACAATGATCCTAATAATTGCAGAATTATTTACAGTAGATAAATAGCAGATACTTAGTATCTATGTTGTGTCAGAAAAAGGTGAAGTCTATTTTAGATAAGCTAGTCTTATCACTGTCCTCAAAAATTGGAAGAAAAAAATGAAGGAAGAAGAATTGAAAACAGTGATTCAAGCAAATACTTGTATCCTAATGATCATTGCAGAATTATTTACAGTAAATAAAAGTGGAAACAACACAAGTGTCCAACAAATGAATGAATAAACAAAATGTGGTAATCCATGCAATGTAATACTATTCACCTATGAAAAGGAACAAAGTTCTGATACATGCTACAATAAGGATGATCCTTGTAAATATTATGCTAACTCAAATAAACCAGACAAAAAGGACAAATATTGTATGATTCCACTTACATAAAGTATCTAGAATAGGCAAATTCATAAATCAGAAAACAGACTACAAGTCACCAAAGGCTAGGTAAAGGGGAAATGGGGAGATATTGTTTAATGTGTACAGAGTTTCTGTTTGGGGCAATGAAAAAGTTCCAGAAATGGAGAGTGGTGATGATTGCACAACATTGTAAATATACTGAATGACACTGAATTGTACGCTCAAGAATGGTAAAATCACAAATGTTATGTGATTATATGTATATATATATATATATATGCGCACGCGCACACACACACACACACACACACACACATATATTTTAACACGATAAAAAATTTTTCAGAAAAGAAAGCCAAAATGGAGAACTGACTAGTAACAAAAGCTTACCAAACCTCATCGCACCTCAACACCTATTCTGCCTCCCTCGGAGCACATTATGTGGTAAAATATGCACATCTGCATATGTTTATAAAACTATGAAGCATATGAATATTATACAAATATGGAAAAAAGAATTAAAACAAACATGCTACTGATTTTCATTCTTTTCACTAAAATAATAGTTCTATGTTTCTTGAAGGCTTTTATACTTAAAACTCCAAAATTACTTGTATTGAATACAGCTTATCAAGATAAACAGTTAAAACGAAATAAAATAAAAAATGTTATGTTAAAATAATTTTCTTTCATTTATCTTTTGAATGTTAATAATGTACACTCTTAAAATATGAATGATGTTTTTATAAAATATCCTATACTTTTGGCCTTCCAGAAAGCCCAAAACAGTCTTGAAAACAAAATGACTAAAGTTGCTAGCTAAAATGAATACCTTTACTAAATTTAAGCTGAAGAGATACACAGGTTGTTGTCTTTTTTTAATGTCAGGAAGATATGTGGGAAGCTGAATTAGTCATTTAGCAAGCTAGGAGGACTTCACCTTTTTCTGACACAACATAGATACTAAGTATCTACTATTTATCTGCTGTAAATGATTCTGCAATTATTAGGATCATTGTATCATTAGTATAGAAGTATTTGCTTCAATCACTGTTTTCAATTCTTCTTCCTTCATTTTTTTTCTTTCAATTTTTGAGGACAGTGATAAGACTAGCTTATCTAAAATAGACTTCACCTTTTTCTGACACAACATAGATACTAAGTATCTACTATTTATCTACTATAAATAATTCTGCAATTATTAGGATCATTGTATCGTTAGTATAGAAGTATTTGCTTGAATCACTGTTTTCAATTATTCTTCATTTTTTTTCTTTCAATTTTTGAGGACAGTGATAAGACTAGCTTATTTAAAACAGAGGCAGTATTTGGTGAAAATACTAGAGAAAAAAGTTTGGCAATGTAAAATGCAATAGGCTTGACCTTTTGTGTTTTGCATGACAGAAAGCTAACTTGAGAAAAAGACCCCCCACCCCGCCAAAATAAAAGAAGTATGAAGAATAAGTTTCTTTGTCTATGTAATACATTGTAAAAAATCTGCCAAAGACTATCCGTTTAAAATTTTTCTTCAACATTTATTTATATCATCATACACATTAGGGAGCATGACATAAAACATACCAGATGAATAAATAGGTTAAGTGTCCTATACATACAGATAATTTTTTTTTTTTTTTTTTTTTTTGAGGAAGAGTCTCACTCTGCCACCCAGGCTAGAGTGCAAAGGCATGATCATGGATCGCTCACTCGATCTCCTGAGCTAAATCTATGCTCCCACCTCAGCTTCCTGAGTAGCTGGGACTATGGGGTACACCATCATGCCCGGCTAATTTTGTACTTTTTTTCTGTAGAGACGGGGTTTCACCATATCGTCAGGCTAGTCTCAAACTCCTAGGCTCAGGGATCCTCCTGCCTCTACCTCCCAAAGTGTTGGGATTACAGGTGTGAGCCATCAGGCCTGGCCTTATTATTCACATTTTTAATATCTACCTAAAACTAGTTAGAAAGTAGTAAGATGAACTAAATGTATTTTAATTAAATCTTTCAATTTCTGCCATTTATCTTTCACCACTAAAATCATTATTTACCAAAAAAGGTAGTCATAGTAACACTTCTCAATGACTTCAGTTATTCAGTTGTGCATATATAACAATAATATATTAACATCTTCCACCTGCATACTTTAAAAATATATCAAATAATTAACTTTTTTTCCTTTAAGTAAAGAAATACTTAAAAGCTAGGAAGCTATGGTTCAGAAACTATATTTTTTAATGGCTAAATCTTTTTCATGTCAATTATTTTAGTTTTTACTACTAAAAGAGCCACTACTAGTAATGCTAGCCCTCTACATCACTTCTCACCCATTTTGAGATCACTGCCACTTTATTTTCATTTGGTATTTTCCTCTATATCTGTCTATATACTGATGCTTTAAAAGAAAATAATTTTCAGCAAATCCAATTAATCATTCCCACTCAATATTTACCAGTCTTTCCCCAGTAATACAGAGCTTAATATAAAATAAACAATTTTCCTTCTTTGTCTAAGTTATCCAAATTAATTTTTTAAATAGCCTTAACCCAATTGTTAGGATATCCTATCTAGATCTTCATGAATATGACAGATAGTAAAATAAAAATGAAGCATATGTTCTCATTTGGGCACGAATTTGGTAAGCTTTTATATTTGGTTAAGTACTCATAACACTGAAGCAAAGATTATTGGAAATCTGTTGAAGAGAACCTTAAATCATGTTTAGAACATTAAAGCAAAGAGAATGAAAATGTCCCTCAAAGCACAATAATTATTCCTCAATTATAGAAAAATATAAATAAATAACCCTTTGTATTTAAATAATTATAATATCTTATAAAAGGGTGACTAATATTAAGACTTAGAAAGTGATAAATATCTCTTTAGTCCATTTTTAAGAACATCTTACATACAAATCTCAGGTTTACAGCCTCAGAAAGATCCAAGGCATGTTATCATATGTGCCTTCAAGAATGCTACCCAGACTTTTATTATAATTTTAAAAACTCAGACATATTTATATGGCTCTGACATTTACAAAATGCAAGCACAGATATCAATTGTAAATAAATGAGATATGTGACAGCGTATTGTAAGCTGCTCTTTAGTATGTGCTGTATCGCCCACTGGTATTTCAACTTCCAGGTCATCATCTCAATAGGTAATAAAATCATCTTTACTGTCTTACAAACCAAATACAGTTCTAACCTTTTTTATTTTTCTTTTTTCCAGGCAGGGTCTCAGTCTGTCACTCAGGCTGAAGTGCTGTGGCCCAATCATAGCTCAATGAAGCCCTGATCTCCCAGGCTCAAGAGATCCTCCTACCTCAGCCTCCTGAGTAGCTGAGATTACAGGCATGAGCCACCATGCTAGGCGAGCTTTTTAATTTTTGTAGAGACAGGGTCTCCCTTTGTTGCCCAGGCTGGTCTTGAACTCCTGGGCTCAAGGGATTCTCCTGCCTCGGCCTCCCAAAGTGTTGGGAAAACGGACGTGAGCCACCTGCATCCAGCTAGTTCTAACTTTAAATGTGAAAATTTTTAGAGGTTTCATTTATAGAGAAAAATATCCTGATGCTATCTGATTGAGAAAAGCTGGACAATTGATAAAGCAATCCATCAATGTATCATATAATTTATAGTACCTCCAGAACTAAAGCATTTAGTTTGATCATATATAAATGGAACAGTAATACACTTTGCACTAAGTATTTTAAACAGATAAGATTCTTGTCAGCCATATGTCTACAGTTCATGTATCATAATCAAATGGCCTGGTGCTTTTGAGTCCACACCCATTCCTTTTATGAAATGATCCACTACATTTTGTACATTTTATAGAACCTGGGAGAATCAACCTCTGCAAGTTTGCTTCTACCTTTGATTCCTGACACCAAAATACTTAAGGAATTTAAAATTTTCTAGGTATAGAATAGAGATCAAAAACTAAACTGAAAATTGGTGAGTCATATGAAGTTTCCTGGAAAGAATATAAACATATTAGTCAAAGCATACTCTTGAGTTTTTTTCCCCCAAATGTCATTTAAAATATAAAATACTAAATATGTAACAATACAAGTAGTTCAGGATTTCATAATCTATTACAATTAATAAAATGTTTAATACTCCAAATTGCGTGTTCATTATATGTGGTCTACATTAGGTTAGAATTTATCTTTTTTAAACAATAACATATCAAACGAGAAAAAATATTTTATTTGCTACTGTTACTGTCAAAACAGCTTTTCAAAACCAAGAAGTTTTTATGCAATGATATAGTAACTTGGCTAAATCTGGTTTATTTCATATTCAGAAATTTTTATTTTAAGAGGCATTTACAAAAGCTACAGGATATGCTTTAATTAATTTGACAAGTTTATTAAGCTTTACAATGTTCAAAATACTACGCCAGAGATACACAACATGATTGTTTTTATATCAACACTTATTGAGCTCCTGTGGAAGGAAAGCATTTAAGATAAATGGTACATGCCCATGAAGTACCCAAAACACAAATAATTAAATGAATTAACTTCAAATAAACTGGAACCCAAAACATTAAAGTATAAATTAAATTATCTATATAACTATAAGCTTGGTATGAAGTATTCATGTTGCAGGAAACGAATTACATTTCCGATATTAAAGTCCTGATATATATTTAAGAGTTGTTACTTACATTACTTCATCGAAATCTTTCCTATAGCAACATTATTTTGAAAAGGGAAAAATGTTTTACTTGAATAATATCTTGTACTTCAATAGTCAAAAAACGCTACACATCCCATACTCTTGAAAAAAACAAAACATCTTAACTTCAAACAGCACTAATATAAGTTATGCTTTGGCCCAATTGTTGCTTACTGGATTGGGTGAAAAAAATCTTAATCTTACTCATATTAGAGAATTCTATAAAGTAAATCCTGTTCCTTCTAATATGCAAATGTACTTACTCAATTTGAGAGCCTGCCAACCCTCCAATCAGGCTCTGATTGCACTTTTTGTGTGAGTGGTGGAATCAAGAGTGCTTCTTTTAGAACATGAGGAATAAAGAAAATAGAGCTAAAATGCTAGATGCTCTACTGCACAGAGTTAAAACATTAAAATCTTAAAAAATTAAGGATATTAAATGCGTAACTGGTTAAAAAATAAGCAACATTTTTATTTCAGAAAAGCATTTCAGTTACAAACTTGCCTGTTTCTTGTCTCAAGATTTTTAAATGGCTTATGAAAGATGTTCAGTTAAACCCAGCAGCTTTATTTCCTCACACTCTCCACTAAAATGACTATAAAGTAATTAAAGTTTGTATGCAAGGATAAAGAACATCAGACTGGAAGCTTTGGACAGTGGAAAGAGGATAGACAAGTGGTGACTGGCTTAACACAGCAGAACTAAAACCTAATCACAACAAAGTAAAGCCAGCAAGAAGCAGGATGATTTGTATGACAGACTCTGGAAAGTCTTAAGAATTGGAGGTACCAAATATCTCAGACAGTAGATTATAAAAAGGACTGGTTGACAATCCTTGTAACAATCAACAAGATGCCTCCCCCAACTCCACTGCCAAGATCCTTTGCCCTCCCCACACATGGGGAGGAGACAGAGGTGTCCTGTCCAGAGAAAATGAATGTCCAGGATTGCAGACAGGAGGATGGCAGACATGGTGAAGGCCAGCAGCAAGGAGTGGCAAGAAAATGAAAATTTATGGCATTAAAAATTCTGAGGGAGAAAAACAACCCAAGTCTGGGGACTGAATAAAGAGTTTCATGGTCTCAAAACTGTTTACTTCTCATTGAACTTTTCACAGGAAACTAGTACAGAGTAAGAATCATGATAAAGATGAAGTCAGCCTAAAAAGAAGACATGGGAGGCTGGGCGCAGTGGCTAACACCCATAATCCCAGCACTTTGGGAGGCTGAGGTGGGTGGATCACGACGTCAGGAGTTCGAGACTAGCCTGGCCAAGATGGTGAAACCCTGTCTCTACTAAAACTACAAAAATTAGCCAGGTGTGGTGGTGGGAACCTGTAATCCCAGCTACTCAGGAGGCTGAGGCAGGAGAATCGCTTGAACCCGGGAGGCAGAGGTTGCAGTGAGCCGAGATCGAGCCATTGCACTCCAGCCTGGGCGACAGAGTGAGAGTCCATCTCAAAAAAAAAAAGCAAAAGACATGTAATATAGGAAACAGAACTCAGCCACAAGAGAGAGGGGTAAAGAGCATTTCTACAGCTGTCCCTCAGGGGGCAACCAGATGGGAGAGGCAGGCAGGATACTGGAGGCTGCAGGAGAAAGTTCTGTAAGAAGAGCAGAATCACAGGATGGATTATGGGTGTTTCTCATTAGGTTTAACTGTAAAGGAAGAGGCTTTACAGCTCCACTGAAAAGTATGCAGAAAGAATTAGTGAGGGGTACACTGAACACTGAGCAAGTTAAAGAATGCGGCACTTGGGCTGGGTGTGGTGGCTCACGCCTGTAATCCCAGCACTTTGGGATGCTGAGGAGGACGGATCACCTGAGGTCAGGAGTTCGAGACCAGCCTGGCCAACAGGGTGAAACCCTGTCTCTACTAAAAATACAAAAATTAGCCAGGCATGGTGGTGCATGCCTGTAATCCCAGGTACTCAGGAGGCTGAGGCAGGAGAATCGCTTGAACCCGGGAGGCAGAGGTTGCAGTGTGTGGAGATTGCACAACTGCACTCCAGCCTGGGTGACAGAGTGAGACTTCGTCTCAAAAAAAAAAAAAAACCAAAAAACGAAAAAGAATGTGGCACCTACTTACTACTATAGGAGAGAGAGAAAAAAATCCTGGTATAACTGTATGAGCCATTTCAGCAGGCCAGGATCATGGGTTGTAGGCAGCAAGGTGGAGGAGGGGGAAGTGCTGCAGAGGAGCAAACAGAAGACTCACAGCACACATCAGAGTAAATTTAATCACAGTGCACAGAGCTGCTCAGTGGGGAACAATATTTCCATCATCATCGTAATGAAAATGGTATATATTAATTAATCCAAAAATGAGATATAATTATATCAGGGGCAGGAAGAATGTGTGAATGTGAATGTGTGTATTGTGGGGGAGCAGTGTTGGAAGAAGCATTTCATCTTCCATAATGAAAAGTCAGTGCAGAATTTCAAAAATTATACATATTTTTCACTTAAAAATACAGTTGTTAATACTGAAAGAAAAATCTAAAAGAAGTGCAAGTAATTGCCTCTGGAAAGCAGAATTTGAGATGGGAAAGGGAGGGCCAGGGACAACTGCCTTTCACAGTAAGATTTATAGTATCTTGACTTTTGTGTATGTAATACTGTGATAAAAATTAAATTCAAAATAAAAACATGAATACCCTTAAAACAAGACTGTGACTGCCACATAAATATTCTGACTTCAGAACATCATTTATTGTTTAATGAAAAAACCTTAAAATCAGCAAATTAGGCAAACTCATTTCACTGTGCTTTAATAGATCAATCTCCAAAGCAGTCAAGCAATTTGATTCATACCCTACAATTAAAATAAATAGCTTACCAACATTTTTTATCTGGTCCTTTACACATTATATACATGCAAACTAAGTGAGCAATATAATTTTAATAACCAAATTAATTCACAAATTGGCCTTCTAATAAATATGTTAATAAATACTGAATTTCTGTATGATTCATTCTGAGAAGCCCCAGTCATTTCAGTTTTTCTGACTTTAGAAATCATTTGAATTGTCAACTAAAATATTCATATTAGAGATAATACTATGTCCAAACATACAGCTTACTAACCACTGATACAGAGAAACAATCTTGCGCCCCCTCCCTCCCTAACAGTTGCTGTCAGAACCACTATAAGGATCGTCTACTTCTTTCTTCCCTTATCAAGGGCAAAACAAATGCCCTGCTATTAAATGAGTACTACTACTAATGCCTGCTACTAAATGAGACCAGAGCTCTCATTACCACAACTAGCTGCCCTTACCAATGCCTCTGCTGTTGCCACTCCCTTTCCAACAGCCCTATTCGCCTGCCAGCAGTGGCTGGCACCTACCTGCACCTGCACCCAGAGACACGTGGGCCTCCTGAGTATCTGTGTTCCTTTATTCTACTCTCATCTGGAGCTGATGCTATAGGAATGCTGGGGTCGGGAGAAAATACACTGTAAATCTTAGAGTTGTAACTTGGGAGGTTCTATGATAGTAATGACAGATTGATTTTATATTTCAGATATGGTAAGGCAAAAGAGGATTTTGTTTACCAGCTTAAAGTGCCACACACTATTGGAAAATGATTCCCAATTTCAACTGAGCTTGTAAATTCCAATTTAACTTTTAAATTTAAGCCAACTAGTACGTTAGGAATGGACTCTGCAAAGCCTAATGAAAGAAAAAAATACCCTCCCACAAAACAAATGGTCAGAATGTAAATATCCAAAATTGTAAATAAATATCCAAATTTAGTTGTTTTGATTTTATACTAATTACTAAAATAGTATTATAATTTTAATTCATTTTATATAATAGTATATTATCCTAATATCATAGTTTTATTGAGGCCCATTCAAGACCTTTATTTTGTTACTCTTGTAGCTGTTCTTTTCTTTCATCTCCCCAAACTGAAAACAGACCTTGCACAATATAACTTGGCAATCTAGTTTATTCATTTCCTAGAAAAGGTGAAAAAATAAACCTTAAGGCTCTTGCAACACATTTTCTTCCATGCTGCTTTCAGTTTGGTGTTTTAATGGAATAAGTAGTATACAGGGTGATTTTGATTTTACTATATATTGCTCCAGTAAAGTAGGAAATAGAAAATGGATATTTTTTTCCAGTTATTTAATCAGTTTACTAAGGATTGGGGGGAATCAGGCACTTCAAATAAAGTACAGTACAATAGTAGTACACTTCTTTTTTTGACCACTAAAGCAATATGAATAAATGATCCAATGCTTAAAATGACCCCTAAACACCTAGTTCCTCATCTTTTAAAAGTTCAGCAAGACTTGACTATAAAAAAGGAGCAACAGAAGCACAATCATCAACGTCAACATCTGGTTACAAAAAAGGGAAATAGATGAAGCAGTTGTCTGCGTTTCTCATGCAACCAGTATTTTTTGAGTGCCTACTGTGTGCTGGAGACAGTTCAAAGGTTAACAGTACAGATGGGGGCTCTACCCATGGAGCTTAATAAACAAATAAATAAGCAGAATTTTAGACAATGATAAACATGACGGGAAAAAATGGATTGATGTGATATTGATGGAAAAAGGTGGCTGTTCCAAACAAGGTCAAGGCCTATCTGAGGTGTGCTGTTTAAATTCAGACGCAAGTGACAAGGAAGCAGCCACAATGAGATACAGAGGAAGATCTTTCTAGCAGAAGGGAAAGCAACTGAAAAGCCTCTAAGTTGAGAACAAATCTGGAGATTTTGAGAAACATGAAAGAAAAAAGCTGGGGCAGTTAAGTCTTAATGAACCAGGGGATAAAGGTGGGGGTGGGATGATGGAGAAGATGGGGGACAAGCAGGCACAGTCTGTGGACCATGTGAAAAGCCAGGTTGATTTAAAGTGTAATGGAGCCTGTAATCCCAGCACTTTGGGAGGCTGAGGTGGGTGGATACTTGAGGTCAGGAGTTCAAGACCAGCCTGGCCAACATGGTGGAACCCTGTCTCTACCAAAAAAAATACAAAAATTAGCCAGTCGTGGGGGCATGTGCCTGTAATCTCAGCTATTCAGGAGGCTGAGGCAGGAGAATCAGTTGAACCTGGGAGGCAGAGGTTACAGTCAGCTGAGATGGCACCACTGCACCCCAGCCTGGGCGACAGAGCAAGACCCTGCCTAACAATAAATAAATAAGAATAAACTGTGAAGGAAAGCTATGACCTTATCTACATTTCTCAAAGTTCATTCTAGTTGCTCTGTGGAACATGGCTTATGAAGGATGAGCATGGATGCAGGAAGACCAGTTGGAAGGCCAGCTATTGCAGTAAGTGATGAGAGGCAACAGTGACTTGGGCAGATGGCAGCAGTGAAATGAAGATAAATATAGGAAGGATGCATGCTAAATAATAGAGCAGAGGTTCCCATACTTTCTTGCTTCATGGTGCCCTTGGTGTCTCAGTAATTTTTTTCATAGCACACATAGGTCTAAATTACCTAGCAGTTCCACTTTATAAGGTACATACTACTTAACAGTAGTAGTACATCTATGTCATTATTTCGTCTGAAAATTTAAAATATCCTGTGGTCTCCTGTGAAGGGTGCCCTGTGGCTCCAGGCCGTTCAGGAACCATAGCTTTAGTGCTAAGACTTGCAAAAGAAATAGATATGAGGAGTACAGATAAAAGGAGAATCAAAGATTCCTGGCCAAAATCCTGGATTTGAGGCCTGAGCAACTAGAGGGATAGTAGTATCACTCACTGAGATGGGTAAGAATGGGGAAAAAACACAACCCTGAAAAGTATCATGCCATCTACAAATAAGAAAGTTGAGACTTAGAGTGTCTGTATAAATTACTCAAGGTAGCACAAGTGGTCAGGAAACAAGAAATTTGATTCCAGGTCTGTCTAATGCCAGATAAAATAATAAAAAATAAGCTTCTATGACTTAGTCACATTAGAGTAGATTAACTATGAT
Organism: Homo sapiens; assembly: GCF_000001405.40. Taxonomy (NCBI): domain Eukaryota; kingdom Metazoa; phylum Chordata; class Mammalia; order Primates; family Hominidae; genus Homo; species Homo sapiens. The sequence goes on from NC_000012.12 coordinate 39,934,024, forward strand.
ATTTCAGTTAATTCTAGCAATATTGTTAGATAGTCTGTCTGATTCTGAATCTTAAGTTAGCTATGACCTAACTCCCTGTTAGTTGATAAAAAGGGATTGTAAGGGGTGGCAAATAGCAGCCTTGTGCACACAGCCTCAAAAAGAATTCTTTTAATGTGAAATGAAGGTCTTGGGGATAAAAAATGAAACTGAAGATTCTATGAATGTCCATAGCTGTTGACATAACAACTAGCAATTCCTAAAACCAGAGCCACTCTAATTGTCAGCTTTCTTTTCAACCCAGCCCAGAACAGGACATATATGGTGAAAGTTCTAAGTAGAATGCTAATCGAATGTTGATTCCTTAGGACAGGTGGCACAACCTCAAAGGCATAGATGAGGCCAGGTTATGTGGAGCAGCAGGGAATGCAGGGAACGGGAGAGGACCTACATCATCTCCAAGAGGCAATGCCATCTCTGGAAATGTGGACTTTAATGTGTAATTTAACAAATGTAAAAACTGCACTTTCTAAAGAAGGCATGCCTGAGGACTAAATTTGGTCCTTGCAAACAGTCTTAGATAAATGATTACACTTTTGGATAAGCAGCTGAGGAAAGAGACTTAGGGACATTACAGAGGGATCATTGGAAGAATCCAGGAGGAGGCTGTTAATTCTATGCTGGAAACTAAAGTTGAAATTTCACAGTTAAATCTACTTTATACATTTTCTATATTTTCTGGTACTGAGTGTTTTTTCAAAAATAGAAATAGGAGAACCTTATATGTAGTTCTCTAAGGTTTAATCTGTCCAGTAAGAAATGATCTTATCGAAATAAATGAAGAAGTTCTAGCAAGAAACACTGTTCATTTCTCTTCCTGCCATGAATGGCAGGTCATCAGACTATTTGTCTCTGCATGGAGCGGCTTAATAGCATTTGAAATCCTGCAATTCTATCAGCCACAGGAAGCATAATCACAAATTTGAACAGAACTGACTAACTTAGATTTTCACCTGCCCTCAGAAAGAAGGAACCAAGAGAAAGAGATATGACTTGAAGAATACTTTATGGAAATCTTCAGTGTTGAAATCCAAATTAAATTTATGGCTGGGACCGGTGGCTCATGCCTGCAATCCCAACACTTAGGAAGGCAGAGGTGGGAAGATAGCTTGAGCCCAGGAGTTTAAGACCTGCCTGGGCAACATAGCAAGACCCCATTCTCCTCAAGAAGGGAAAAATAAATAAATAAATAAAATTATGAAAACCTATCCAATATTATAAATCATTAGATATGTCATTATAGCCTGTCACTAATTCTAATTCTAAAGGTCAGGACTAACTTGGCAACATTTTTGAAAGATCCTCTTCTCAAAGCTTGAATGTTGTGGCTTTTATTTTCCTAAGGTCATGTCTGCAGACTAGTTAAGGAAGACTCACACTATCAGAGAGTGACTCATTCCCCTTATACATCATGCTATGACTCTGGATATGAACAGAATAAAAACAAAACAGTCAGTAGTAACTAAAATCTAGCTGGTTCTCCCTGGGGAATATTGCAAGGGGGCATTTTTAGTATGTGTACGGTCTTTTGGAGGAAATAGACACATCTGCAGTTATAATATAATAAATAACTATTCATAGATATCCACTCAGAGTGCTAAAGGAGGCCAGAAGGGGAACATTTACATTGGCCCCTTGGTTCAGGGAGATGACATGTGACCTAAGTTTGGAAGTCTTTTAGGGTAAGCTAGCTATTTCAGCTAGGGAGAATGGCACACATGAAGGCACTGAAGCTTGGATTAGCTTTAATCATTGCCAGAAGTACAGGAGGTTCCATGTAGCAGGAGGTACATGTACCTTTTTATACCTTATACATCTCATCTTTGTGCCTAATTATAATTCCTGATTTCCAGATCACTGATGCCCTGAGAAGTTATGAAACTTGTAGCTTTACACACCCTTCTTTATATACCCTTGCGTAGGGCAGTGGTTGGACATGAAGCAGTGCAAAGATGGGCAAAAGCCACAAAGGGCCCTGGACTTTGAACTTCGCTGAAAGCTGTGGGACACATTAAATCATTTATGTCAAGATGAGACATAATTGATTTTGTTGCAGAAAGTTTAGAGGCAGAGATAACCAAGGCTCAATTGAGGAAGTTGAGATTTAAGGCAGGAAAATCCTCTGTGCATCCCTCTACAGTGTTGTCAAGCCCCCTGCCCTCAAATGCTCAGGCTAGGGTAGGTTCACTTTGATCTTTTTCTCTTTGGGAATTAAGAATTGTGACAATTCCAATCTATTGTGGATGCTTGAACTAGAAGTACCTCCAAAGTTATGGTGGTAGAGATTGACCAGATACAAGCAAGAGAAGAGGATGTTCTCTAAGAGAAAGAAGAAGGGTGCATATACCCTACAGAAATAACAGCAAAAAACCTTGGGCACACAGAAGCTGAGCAAGTGACTCTCTAGTTTCTGATTTCAACCCTCTGCCAGGCCCAGCTATATTTCCTGCCTTTAGGCCCTATTTCCTTATTGTACACCAACTTATCTTTTTAAAGTTAGGTTTAAGTGGGATTCTGTTGCAAATAATATGAGCTCTGACTAAAGCAAGGCCTGACAGAAAATGGAATGAAGATCATAGGAAGGATACAAGAGATATTAGGGATATAAAATTGAAGGAAATTACAGCTGATTGGATTTGGATGTGTTCACTCTCAAGCTAAAGGCTCGGGCAGCCAACTGGCCACATGCATCATTGAGAAGAGGATTATAAGGGGAGGGGCAGAATTGGCAGAAAGTGATAGGGATTCAGTTTTAGGCATACTGAGACTGGTGAGAGTGGAATATTCAAAAGTAGAAATGTCCAGCAGTTGAATATATGAGTGTGTATGGCAGAGGAGTTCTGACCTGCAACTACAGATTAGGTCTTCTTTAACATGTAGATGGTCATTGGCCTAATGGGACTGGAATAGGTCTCTGAGTAGAGTTGCAAGCCAAGACTTGGACAGCACCACCATTACGGTTCAAATTGAGTAGGAAAAGCCATGAAGGAGATTTAAGTTGAAATGCTGTGGTGAGGGAAAATTTTTTCAGAAGAACCATGGCCAAGTGATGAGAGCCTGGATAGTGAACTCATAGAGAAGAATAAATGTAAATCTGGGAAGAGGAAAATAGAACTTCCTCACATCTTTTGTGGCTGGCACTTTGCTGTCTTATTTCATCTTCAAGCAACCTTTCAAGACAGGTCACAGCATATGCTTTTAAAGATAAGCAAAAGAGACCATAAGTTCCCTGAAAATGGTGTAAGTCATATTGTGTATCTCTGGTCCCTGGCAGAGTGCCTGCTACCTGTGTGTGTAAAGAGTGAATTAAGACCTGGGCACTTCTACAATGTTACAATAGTCTACCCGGAATCAGCCAGACTGGTGTTACCTTCAAACTCAGATATATTGGGGACAAGGTTCTGCTTTATTGGCACAGAAAGTCTATTTTCTGGGACACATCCCTGGACTTCATGCTATTTCAACTCATTAACAGCACCTCCATTTCTTCTCCTTACCTTTCAGTGAAATATATAATTCAGAAAAAGGAAGGCAAGGAAATATGTTTTCATATTTCTAAAGATGTCCTGAGGCACCTGAAACCTTAGTTGCTGATACTTTACAAACCATGGAGATGAATTTCCACTAATTACCACAGAACCTTAAATTCACATCTGATTCAGGAAGCATGACAAAAGGATTTGACAATCTTTTGATGTAAACTACAAGTCACGCCACATTGGGCATATTTAGCTACAGATCCCCCACCATCTAAGGAGGCTTTATTAGATCTTATCATCCTAAGGTCATCGAGGTCTTTTCTCCTTGACATAAATCTAAGATGAAAAGAACATATCTAATATTGAAGTGAAGGGCACTACTATAACATGTACAAGCTAGAAGAACACCATCATGATTCTTTCCTGAATTTTGAAAATAGAGACATGCATAAAAGAAGGGTATTATAGCAATTTTGTGTCTCCAGAGGATGCCTCAAATCCTGTATCGACGGGTAGAGGGTAAAGAAGGTGGATTAACGGTGGGATGTTTCTGCTTTCCACAAACGCCTGGGACTTTATAAACTGCAGTACACAGGGAGCAGAAGGAAAGTGAACACAGATGTAGTTGCTCCCATGGGCCTCAATCATACATGCTTTCTCATGTAATCACATTTGGGAGGTATTATAATTCCTGATTTCCAAATCACTGAGGACCTGAGAAGTTATTATGTAGCTTGTGGAGTTTACACAGAGAGTAGGTGTGTTGGGTTTGGATTCAAATCCAGATCTAACACCAAAGGTTGTATTAATATTTGATGTACCATGTTTCCGCACACAAAATAACTCCATTTAAAGAAACTTTAAAAAAAAAAACACAACAAAAATCATTTGTTTGTGTCCCCTTCAATCCCTAGGTAGGGATTTGAATGTACAGCAATGATACAGTAAATATTGGTTGAAGGCATAAATACATACATACATTAATGATGTATTTTTCAGATTCCTGTAACAGGACAAAATTATTTGTGAATCATACAAAGAAAAAAGGATAATAATATTCAAGAAAATATATTTTCATCATTTGTTAGCATGAATCTCCAATTTTTATTGGTTATTTTCCACATGGTTAGCCAGGGATCATTGACTTTTTTTTTTTTTTTACTAAAAATGGATTTGCTGTATCCATGAACAGTACTAAGAAAGTTCACATCCATATTGTGCTAACTTATTTTTACACATATTTGGAGACAGGATTTTTCAGAGGTGCTTTTCATGCCTTGCCCCATATGCTCTAGATCACCCTCTGAATTACCCTGCAGCCATCATGGAAACTCACTATAGAATCTGACAGTTTCTAGCTCAACTTTCTTTGTCTCTCTACTTGTCTACATGACAGCTCTGGCACCATAAGTGATTTCTCAGGAAAGCCTGGAGGAAGTGCATTTAACATCCGCAGGGTCAACACTCAAGTTGAGGGAATGGGGATTGTGGATAAATACCCCTGGACTAATTCTGAGGACAATCTACACTGTTCCTTGGAGAGTACTCAGCAGGACTGTGCTCCAGTTGCCTACTGACATAGCCTGCTTACCAATGCTCTCTTTACTGCCTCTTCTTCCTTCTCTATTCCACTTCCCTTACTCCTTTTCTCATCCTCTTGATATCGTCCCCAAAATATCATCTGCACCCAAGTCCTTGTCTTAGGGCCTGGTTTTGGGGCAACCTAAACAGAGACAGGTATGCAATATATACACAGGGAAATGGAAAATGATTAGAAACATTCTGATAGCTCGCTATAAAGGCATTCTGCTCCAAGCCTCCTCTGATGAGAATGCTTTGTTTTGTTTGCTAGGATAGTGAGTTACCTACCTGCCATCAAAAAGGGTTTTAGACTCCAGAGGGAGAAAGTACACCCTTTCCCTTATAAACCGTGTGCACATGAGCTGAGAAGCCAGTGGAGTTCATAGGGCTTGAGCCTACTCCTACATTATGGGAGCCAAGGAAAGTCTATCACATCAGGTGATAAGTCTGCTACACAATCTTGGGATAAAGAGGCATTATCAGCCATAACCTAGATTGTCTTTCTTCAAAGACATGATTGGGAAATAAAAATATGGTCTTAACATATAAGAAGCTAGGCCTCTAAGACAATGATCAGCATGTGGTAAGCATTTAATAAATATTCCAAAAATTTTGTTGAACAAAGTACAATTTTCTTTTTAGGCCAAAACTATTTTTCTACAGTCTGATAACTTTTCATCCAAGAAAGGCTTAAAGTATTACTATTTCAAACGTTTTAGCTTCCATTCTACTTGAAACTCCATGAAACTCCATTTGTCCTCATTCAAATGCACATTAAAAGTCCATCTACTTCACTTTATAGGTAATTAGACTGAAAGCAATTAACTGGCATGCCCAGAGTCCCATGGTGGAGACAGACCTTGAATCTAATTTTCCTGATTCCTGGGTTAATATTCTTCCCCTCACATGACACTCATTTTTCAAAAGAGTGAGCCATAAATCCTAACATTTTCCCATTAATTCACTAACTTCCAGCCAATGAACACGAATGAGTACAATTCACTAATCTGGAAATACTTCGATGAGTAAACATTTTATCTTTCAACAGCTTTTTGGACTAGGGAGGCAGAGAGGGGAAGACACTTTAGAGAGATGCTGCTCTAATACATTCATCCTGCATTGTGGAAGACCTCAGAGAGTAAAACCCCATTCCTGGTTCAGATTTACAACCTGAAAGTGTACAAACCCTTATTGTTTTATTTCTTATTTCCTGCCACCTTTATTCTTCTCTACATTTATCACCATCTGACCATGTGTGCTTGTGCTATGTTTCCTGATTGCGTGGTAATTTTTTTTTTTAATACCAGCTGTGCTTGTTGAGGATAGAATATGAGAATGGAACAGATCCAGAAATACTGCACTTAGAAAATTAAATTAAATATGATTAACAAGTATGAATGACTCATTCAACCATCAGCCTAGCTTGTCCAGGAACTCTAGATCAGGATATAAATCAAAGAACTTAGCTAGGTACCAGAAAACTTAAGAACCTGATGAGGTTAATGGTTCTTGAGATGGCTGTGATTTTTTTTTAGCACACAAAAAGCCATTTTAGGTTGTTTATTTAAAATATATAAACTTATAATATTTTATTTATTCGTTTTTCTATACATTATTGGGGTACAGGTGGTATTTGGCTACATGAGTAACTTCTTTAGTGGTGATTTGTGAGATTTTGGTGCACCCATCACCCAAGCAGTATATACTGCACCATATTTGTAGTCTCTTATCCCTCACCCCCATCCCACTCTTCCCCCTCAAGTCCCCAAAGTCCACTGTATCATTCTTACACCTTTGCGTCCTCATAGCTTAGCTCCCCCATATCAGTGAGAACATATGATGTTTGGTTTTCCATTGCTGTTACATCACTTAGAATAATAGTCTCCAATCTCATCTAGGTCAGTGCAAATGCTGTTAATTAATTCCTTTTTATAGCTGCATAGTATTCCATCATATATATATGATTCATTCCTTTTTATAGCTGCATAGTATTCCATCATATATATATATATATATATATATGAATCAGTTTCTTTATCCACTTGTTGATTGATGGGCATTTGGGTTGGTCCCATGACTTTGCAATTGTGAATTGTGCTGCTATAAACATGCGTGTGCAAGTATCTTTTTCGAATAATGACTTATTTTCCTCTGGGTAGATACCTAGTAGTGGGATTGCTGGATCAAATGGTAGTTCTACTTCTAGTTCTTTAAGGAATCTCCACGCTGTTTTCCATAGTAGCTGTACTAGTTTACATTCCCACCAGCAGTGTAGAAGTGCTCCCTGTTGACCACATCCATGCCAACATCCACTGTTTTTTGATTTTTTGATCATGGCCATTCCTACAGGAGTAAGGTGGTATTGCATTGTGGTTTTGATTTGCACTTCCCTGATCATTAGTGATGTTGAGCATTTTTTCATGTTTGTTGGCCATTTCTATATATCCTGTTGAGAATTGTCTATTCATGTCCTGAGCCTACTTTTTGATGGGATTGTTTTTTTCTTACTGATTTGTTTGAGTTCATTGTGGATTCTGGATATTAGTCCTTTGTCAGATGTATAGATTGTGAAGATTTTCTCCCACTCTGTGGGAGGTCCCAATTATTTATCTTTGTTTTTATTGCATTTGCTTTTGTGTTCTTGGTCATGAAATCCTTGCCTAAGCCAGTGTCTTGAAGGGTTTCTTCCAATGTTATCTTCTAGAATTTTTATAGTTTCAGGTCTTGGGTTTAAGTCCTTAATCCATTTTGAGTTGATTTTTCATAAGGTGAGAGATGAGGATCCAGTTTCATTCTCCTACATGTGGCTAGCCAATCATCCCAACACCATCTGTTGAAAAGGATGTCCTTTCTCCACTTTATGTTTTTGTTTGCATTGTCGAAGATCAGTTGGCCTTAAGGATTTGGGTTTATTTCTGGGTTCTCTATTCTGTTCCATTGGTTATGTGCCTATTTTTATACCAGTACCATGCTGTTTTGGTGACTATGGCCTTACAGTATAGTTTGAAATCAGGTAGTGTGATGCCTCCAGATTTGTTCTTTTTGCTTAGTCTTGCTTTGGCTATGTGGGCTCTTTTTTGGTTCCATATGAATTTTAGAACTGTTTTTTTCTAATTCTGTGAAGAATGATGGTGGTAGTCTGATGGGGATTGTATTAAATCTGTAGACTGCTTTTGGCAGTATGGTCATGTTCACAATATTGATTCTACCCATCCATGAGCATGGGATGTGTTTCCATTTGTTTGTGTCATCTGTGACTTCTTTCAGTAGTGTTTTGTAGTTTTCCCTGTAGAGGTCTTTCAACCCCTTTGTTAGGTATATTTCTAAGTATTTTATATTTTTTTGCAGCTATTGTAGAAGGGGTTGAGTTCTTGATTTGATTCTCTGCTTGGTTGCTGTTGGTGTATAGAAGAGCTACTGATTTGTGTATATTAATCTTGTACCAGGAAACTTTGCTGAATTATTTTATCAGTTCTCAGAGCTTTCTAGAGGAAAATTATTCCTCTGGTTATTCTCGTTAGCAATTATTTCCTCTAACGTTTTTTCAAGGTTCATAGCTTCCTTGCATCGGGTGAGAACATGCTCCTTTAGCTCGGAGGAGTTTGTTATTATCCACCTTCTGAAAACTACTTCTGTCAATTCATCAAACTCATTCTCAGTCCAGTTTTGTTCCCTTGCTGGTGAGGAGTTGTGATCCTTTGAAGATGAGGTTTTCTGGTTTTTGGAATTTTCAGCCTTTTTGTGCTGGTTTTTCCTCATCTTCATGGATTTATCTACCTCTGGTCTTTGATGTTGGTGACCTTCAGCTGGAGTTTCTCTGTGGATGTCCTTTTTGTTGATGTTGATGCTATTCCTTTCTGTTTGTTAGTTTTCCTTGTAACAGTCAGGCCCCTCTCCTGCAGATCTGCCGGAGTTTGCTGGAGGTCCACTCCAGGCCATCTGCCTGTATCACCAGCGGAGACTGTGGAACAGCAAAGACTGCTGCCTGTTCCTTCCTCTGGAAGCTTCGTCCCAGAGGGGCACCTGCCAGATGCCAGCCAGAGCTCTCCTGTATGAGGTGTCTGTCGACCCCTGCTGGGAGGTGTCTCCCAGTCAGGAGGCATGGGGATCAGGGACCCACTTGAGGAAGGAGTCTGTCTCTTAGCAGAGTTTGAGTGCTGTGCTGGGAGATTAGCTGCTCTCTTCAGAGCCAGCAGGCAGCAATATTTAAGTCTGCTGAAGCTGTGCCCACAGCCACCCCTTCTCCCAGGGGCTCTGTTCCAGGAAGACGGGAGTTTGATCTATAAGGCCCTGACTGGGGCTGCTGCCTTTCTTTCAGAGAGGCCCTGCCCAGAGAGAAGGAATCTAGAGAGGCAGTCTGGCTACAGTGGCTTTGCTGAGCTGTGGTGGGATCTGCCCAGTTGGAACTTCCCTGCAGCTTTGTTTACACTGTGAGGGAAAAACAGCCTATTCAAGCCTCAGTAATGGTGGACGCCCCTCCGCCCAGCAAGCTCAAGTATCCCAGGTCGATTTCAGACTGCTGTGCTGGCAGTGAGAATTTCAAGCCAGTGGATCTTAGCTTGCTGGGCTCCGTGGGGTGGGATCCACTGAGCTAGACCACTTGGCTCCCTAGCAGGGAAGCCATGAGGGACTGTGCCATGAAGGACAGTGCATTCTGGCCCCAATACTATGCTTTTCCCACGGTCTTTGCAAACCGCAGACCAGGAGATTCCCTTGGGAGCCTACACCATCAGCACCCTAGGTTTCAAGTACAAAACTGGGTGGACGTTTGGGCAGACACTGAGCTAGCTGCAGGAGTTTTTTTTCACACCCCAGTGGCACCTGTAACACCAGCAAGACAGACTTTGATGTAGGCATTTAGGGCTATGAACTTTCCTCTTAGCATCACCTTTGCTGTAACCCAGAGGTTTTGATAGGTTGTGTCATTATCATTCAGTTCGAAGAATTTTTAAATTTCCATGTTGATGTCATTTTTGGCCCAACGCTCATTCAGGAGCAGGTTATTTAATTTCCATGTATTTGCATGGTTTTGAAAGTTCCTTTTGGAGTTGATTTCCAGTTTTATTCCACTGTGATTTGAAAGAGTGCTTAATATAATTTTAATTTTCTTAAACTTATTGAGGCTCATTTTATGGCCTATCATATGCTCTATCTTGGAGACAGTTCCATGTGCTGCTGAATAGAATGTGCATTCTGCACTTGTTGGATGAAATGTTCTATATGTATCTGTTAAGTCCATTTGTTCCAAGGTATAGTTTAAATCCACTGTTTCTTTGTTGACTTTTTGTCTTGATGACCTGTCTAGTGCTGTCAGTGGAGTACTGAAGTCTCCCACTATTATTGTGTTGCTGTCTATCTCATTTCTTAGGTCTATTAGTAATTGTTTTATAAATTCGGAGCTCCAGTGTTAGGTGCACATGTTTAGGATTGTGATATTTTACTGTTGGACAAGGCCTTTTACCATTATATACTGTCCCTCTTTGTTTCTTTGAACTGCTATTGCTTTAAAGTTTGTTTTGTCTGATATAAGAATAGCTACCCCCTGCTTGCTTTTGGTGTCCATTTGCATGAAATGCCATTTTCTACCCCTTTAAGTTTATGTGGGTCCTTATGTGTTAGGTGAGTCTCCTGAAAGCGGCAGATAGTTGGTCTGTGAGTTCTTATGCATTCTGCAGTTCTGTATCTTTTAAGTGGAGCATTTAGGTCATTTACATTCAATGTTTGTATTGAAATGTGAGGTACTGTTGCTTTCATCATGCTCTTTCTTGCCTGGGTACTTTGGTTTTTGTTTTCTGTTTTTTCTTTTTAATGTGCATTTTTGTTTTATAGGTGCTGTGTGATTTTTGCTTTAAAGAGTTTCTGTTTTGAGGTGTTTCCAGGATTTGTTTCAAGATTTAGAGCTCCGTTTAGCAGTTCTTGTAGTGGTGGTTTGGTAATGACAAATTCTCTCAGCATTTGTTTGTCTGAAAATGACTGTATCCTTCCTTCATATATGATGCTTAGTTTCTCTGGAAACAAAATTCTTGGCTGATAATTTTATTTGAGGAGGCTGAAGATGGGTCCTCAATCCTTTCTAGCTGGTAGGGTTTCTGCTGAGAAATCTGCTGTTCATCTGATAGGTTTTCTTTTATAGGTTACCTGGTGTTTCTGTCTCACAGCTCTTAAGATTCTTTCCTTCATCTTAACTTTGGGTAACCTGATAATGTGCCTAGGTGAAGGTCTTTTTGTGATGAATTTTCCAGGTGTTCTTTGTGCCTCTTGTATTTGGATGTCTAGGTCTCTAGCAAGGCTGGGGAAGTTTTCCTCGATTATTCCCCCAAATATGTTTTCCAGGCTTTTAGAATTCTCTTCTCAGCTATGCCGATTATTCTTAGGTTTGGTCATTTAACATAATCCCAGACTTCTTATAGGCTTTGTTCATATTTTCTTATTTTTTTTCTTTGTCTTTGTTGGATTGGATTAATTCAAAGACCATGTCATTGAGCTCTGAATTTCTTTCTTCTACTTGTTCAATTCTGTTTCTGACACTTCCCAGAGCATTTTGCATTTCTAAAAGTGTGTCCAAAGTTTCCTGAATTTTTTATTGTTTTTCTTTAAGCTATCTATTCCCATGAATATTTCTCCCTTCACTTCTTGTATCATTTTTTGGATTTCCTTGCAGTGGGCTTTGCTCTTCTCTGGTCCCTCCCTGATTAGCTTAATAACTAACCTCCTGAATTATTTTTCAGGTAAATCAGGGATTTCTTCTTGGTTTGCATCCACTGCTGGTGAATTAGCGTGATTTTTTGTGGGGGGGTGTTGAAGAGCCTTGTTTTGTCATATAGCCATGGTTGGCCTTCTGGTTCCTTCTTATTTGGGTAGGATCAGTCAGAGGGAAGGTCTAGGGCTGAAGGCTGTCGTTCAGATTCTTTTGTCCCACAGGGTGTTCCCTTGATGTAATACTCTCCCCCTTTTCCTATGGATGTGGCTTCCTATGAGCTGAACTGCAGTGTTTGTTGTCTCTCTTCTGGGTCTAGCCACGCAGCGAGTCTACCTGGCTCCAGGCTGGTATTGCAGGTTGTCTACACAGAGTCCTGTGATGTGAACCGCCTATGGGTCTCTCAGCAGTGGATACCAGCGCCTGTTCCAGTGGAGGTTGTGGGGAGCAGGTTGCAATGGACCCCATGAGGGTTCTTAATTTTGGTGGTTTAACGCTCTATTTTTGTGCTGGTTGGCTTCCTGCCATTAGGTGGAACTTTCCAGAAAGCATCAGCTGTAGTAGTGTGGAGAGGGACTGGCAGTGGGCAGAGCCCTAGAACTCCCAAGATTATATGTCCTTTGTCTTCCACTACCAGGATGGATAGGAAAGGACCATGAAGTAGGGGCGAGACTAGGCATGTCTGAGCTCAAACTCTCCTTGGGCGGGTCTTGCTGTGGCTGCTGTGGGGGTTGAGGGTGAGATTCCCAGGTCATTGGAGTTGTGTACCTAGGAGGATTATGGCTCCCTCTGCTGAGTCATGCAGATTGTCAGGGAAGTGGGTGAAAGCTGGCAGTCACAGGCCTCACCCAACTCTCACGCAAACGGAAGAGCCGGTCTCACTCCCACCATGTTCCCGCAACAGCCCCAAGTCTGTTTCCAGGCGGAGGGCGAGATGGGCTTGAAAATTTGCCCAAGGCTGTCCGCCTCCCAGTTGTGAAAGAAAAGGGCTTTAGTTTTTCCCCCGGCCTGTGAAGTATGAACGCCCCATTTGCGTCCTCCCTTATGGCCAGGAGGCTTCTTGCCCCATTCAAATTGTTACCAAGTTCAGCTACAGAATTTCTTCTCCCTGTGGACTTTTACCCCCTGCTCCTCTGGCCACTCTCCTGATGGATCACTGTGGTGCCAGGCAGGAATGGGCTGCTTGGGATCCAGCAAGCTCCCAGGGCCTTTCTGCTGCTTCCTCTACCCGCTTATTTCACTTGCCTGTCTAACTTGACTCAGCTCTCTAACTTGACTCAGCTTCTATTACTCTGAGTTAATAGAAGACAGAAAAGTAAGAAGAGGAAATAAAGCTGGCAATATTACTCTGCAAGGAGAGTGGCTAAAAAGTAAAAGACCAAATGCCCCAGAGAAGATTCCCCCACAGTTCTCTTTATCCGAAGCAAACTCAAAAGCTTAAACTCTGGATTTTCTTTCCCCCTTTACTACTGTTTTTCTGTGTAACCTTAAAAGAGAGTCATTTAACCACTTGGTCTTCTTAGGTAAAAATCTGATACCTTTCATTCATCCAAGACAGACTGATTATCTGCTTATCAGAATATACCAAAATATAGTTTACTTCAAGTTCCCCAAAAAAGAAAGATGTTATCAAACCCACATAGAACTTAGTGTTTTCTTTCTCACTACCTACGTACACCTTTCCTCCTCCAAACATGAACACATGTATTTAGGTTGTGGTAATGATAATGTGGGAAGTGTCTATTTATTAATAGTCATCAGATAAATATTTCTTAGATTGAACATGGAACATCTTTGATATTATAACTAGAGTTTAGAATAGATCACAGTGAGAATTTCTTTTTTTTTTTTTTTTTTTTGAGACGGAGTGTCGCTCAGTCGCCCAGGCTGGAGTGCAATGGCATGATCTCGGCTCACTTCAAGCTCTGCCTCACGGGTTCACGCCATTCTCCTGCCTCAGCCTCCCGAGTAGCTGGGACTACAGGCGCCCGCCACTATGCCCAGCTAATTTTGTGTATTTTTAGTAGAAACAGGGTTTCACTGTGTTAGCCAGGATGGTCTCGATCTCCTGACTTCATGATCTGCCCACCTCGGCCTCCCAAAGTGCTGGAATTACAGGCATGAGCCACCGCGCCTGGCCGAGAATTTCTTGAATTTACTTTAACCATCATCATCTTCATCTATCACTCCTCTTCTTTATTTTGACACATGCAGAAATATTTTATTGGTCTATGAGATACAGTGCAATGATACTAACACCCTTATATTAGGAAAGTTAGTACTCCATTTTCTCTACTCTTTCTCTCCTATGAATAAAGGAAAATAATCAATTCAGTTGCATGTTGAAATTATTAGGATGAGAGTCATATTATAAAAAAAAATTGCCTCATCTAAAAGTGAAATGTAATGTCTGAAATATGTAAGTTTTAAGAACTTACAAGTCCTCCATTCGGTAGGGTAGAGGATGAGAATGTATGGGTTGGGATATAAAGAAACATAAGTTATCATACAAATAAAAGATATATATCTATATATATGATATACTGTCTATAGATAAATATGGTAAAGGAAAAGAAAATCAAGTATTTCAAGAAGAAAATCTATTTTGTCAAATGTGACAGAATAGTAAATAGGTCAAGGGAATAGGAATAAAGGATTCTTTGAGGGAGAAGATAAAAAACTAAACACAGTAAGATTATATAACACAACTGTGAGGATGATTTATCTTTTAATGTATTTGTTTAATATTATCTTTCCGTATAATCTTTCTATAAACTCACCTTGGTGAGAAATAGAATTCAAAATACCTTATATTTCCATTCACTCAGATTTTGAGGTAAACGACAGAATTTTCAAAAACGTATTTCAACTTCTACACATTATTAGGGTTGAATTAAAATAAAGAAAAGCATTAACTGCTTTATTTCCCACTTAAAAGGGAAGAAGCTGGAAAAAAAGAGTAAAATTTTATATACATAAACATATGTGTTATATGTAATAAAATATCCATAGAAAAGATATTCTGAATTAACAAAGTAACACAAAATAAAAGGCATAATTAAAATTTCTACTAAAAATAAAAAAAGTAAATTACTAGACTCTAATAGATTATTTTAAATCAGAAACAAAGTTTATGATAGTATTTCCTTAATCTTGAGAATAATGGAAAAAGATACATACATATACACACACAAATAAAGACTAGAGAGAGCAGGAGAAAACACATTACATGAGAGTCCCAGATTAGTTGTTTTTTATGCAGACAGTAAACAGTATTACAGTGTATCATAATGACACTGACTTACACTAAATTTTATGGGCTTATAATATGAATGTCTGAAATTATGTACTGTGAATAAACAACAGTTACTCAGCATAGGTATTGTATTATTTTAATGTCTAATCCTTTAACCTCTAGACATGAACATATTAATTTATGCAGGAAGTTGATTAGCTGTTTTACATCATGTAGACACAGTCTAAGTTCAGCCATCATTTACTTTATTTTATTCTTCCTGTTTTCCAGGATTGATAATCAAATGCAAACAAAAGCTCTATGACAACACTACCTATATCATGTGCAGTTTATGATAAGCAAAGTGCATCTATCATAAATATTAGAGAATATCAGGATCCTTATATCACTTGATCTTCAGGAAAAAAGTGAGGCTTTGGAGAAATGAATGTTTTATTAAAATTTGACAGCATCAATCAGCTCAATTTACACTAGCTACTGCTAATGGATTATGACAGTCATTTCAAACTAGGAATACACTGGCCCCAGTCACTACCCATAAACTAGAGTTGGCTCTGTTTGTGATACCAGTTTTAAGTGAAAACAAAAAAAGTACAAGAAAAATCCTTCACTTTCTATGCTTTTATACTTGTCAAGTTTAAATGCTTAGGAAAAAAAGCATAACAAACAAAACATATTTTCAAAACCAGAACAAATATTAGGTTGGTCAACTAACGAATTCACATAGGATTATTAATGGATTTAATTATTTGATGCTTGGTCCTAGCCTAGCTGCAATTCTATACTTCCACCAGACTGCAGAAGGTGGACACATCTCAGAACAAGTCATGATGTGCCAAATTCAGAGAACAAGCAATCAAACGTGCCTGGCACTAGACCAACAGATGGGCCTTAATAGAGCTGGTAAAGGTGAGAAAAAATGAAAGTTAATGTCAGAGAGAAGCAGGAGAGAACAAAATATTGAACATGTAGTCTCGAAAGTTGAAGTTCAACAGGGATTATGATTAAAGTCAAATCCACAAAGTGTGTGAATGTATAGAAAATGGAGTTTCTCAACAAATCTTGATTTAATATACTGGCTCATTGGGTCCTAATCCTTCTTTTTTAAAAATATTTTAATCAATTCACTCTTCTCAAACAGTCACTAAATAACTCATCATATCTCAAGTAATTAAAAAAAATCAAGAGTCTCAAATACAAATGGTTTACCAAAGAAAATTTAATTTTACATAATTTGTATTTTCTTAATGAAAAAAATTCAATCAATAGGCAGGGAGTGGGGAGGACTTCTAAGATGTGGCAGCTTTTAATCTAACAATATGTGCCCTGGGAAAGCACATAACCTTCTCTAAACTGTATTTTATGATTTAGGATCTTAAAAGTCTACTCTGTAGAGAATTGAGAGAGTCCTGTATGGCCCTTATCATAGTTTGAAATCTTATATTTAACTGTGAGTTTATTTAATGTGTGCTTCCTCTACCAGCCTGTACATCCATGAGGACAAGACCCAGGTCTATTTTAGTTACTGCTGTAGGTCTAGTGCAACAGAGGCCCTCAAAAATGGGTTTAATACTGAATGAGGGAAACCTAGTAGAGCCCTTAATATTTAGTCCTTCCCACCCTCAGCACACATACAGCTTTGGGAATTACTCTTAAAATTAGAGAACAGGGAATTTTTCTGTATTCCTCACTCTCCTTCCCACTCAATCTCCCCTCTACCATACTCTGGTTATAATAAACGTACTTCTACTAATGTCCTTATCACATTGCACTGTAGTAGACTGCACCAAAAAGAAATGAATTAGTTATCTGTGTGCCCATAATCTCTGGCAATGCCAGGTGATTTCCTTCTATTTTGCTTTCCAACCAGCATCAAGAAATGGCTTAGAAAAAATGACACATTTAAGCTCAGAATACAAGGAGGTATTGGATGGCGTAAAAGAGAAATTTTATGGAATCAAATAAAGCCAATCATATAACAAACAAAATAAATCACCTTTATCTAGTAACAAATTACTGGAATTAAAAAATTGTAAAGTCAGTATCTCCCAAAAGGAGAATTCATACATTTAATCAGAACAAATCACTGAGTCTAGTATTTACATGAAATACTTTTCACTATTTCACATAAAATAATCCTTTCACAATCTTTTCAGTAAAAAGCCAGAAAGAAATACATACATGATGGTGTTAATGCCTGAGAGCTGCTGGAACATTTGTAGGCCACAACCCACAATTAAAGCTCGGCGAGTTGGGGGATAACTCAGCATTCTGCAGATCACAGGTCCAGCTTTTTTAAGAAAGAAAGAAAAAAAAAATACAACTATTATTTTTAGCTCTCATAGTAATTATTCCCAATAGGACAAATTTTCCTAAATCTTCATGAAATCAACATGACTGGGCATTTTAAATCAGAACAACTCTATTTTTACAGAAATCTGGGTACAATATTTTATTTTGCAAACAGATAGTGTTTTTGTTTTTGTTTTTAGTTTGAACTGTAAAAGCGACAAGAGATAATTTAAGTTTAAGCAATTTATGGGTACTAGAAGACCTATATAACTAAAACTGTCAAATTAGTCTTCCTTAAATCCCTACAAGCTCTAGAGATTAACCACTTCCTTTGTTCTTCAACTTTCTTGTCAATTAAGTATTATTTAAAATCCATCCATGTGGGACTACTTAAAAGTCACTGGCAAAATTGCTTTAATCAACCGTAAGAAAAGCATTCATTAAGAAGAATTAAAGAACAAAATTCATGTTATTTTACTAAAGTTACAGAATTTGGGCATGATGTCAGCCTTGGTTATAGCTACAATGGAGATTATTAATAAAAGTTACCAAAAAGTTAATAAAGAAAAACAATTAATACCTATTATCTATAGATGTGTGTATGTGTGTGTACGTGTGTGTGTGTGTGTATTTCTAAATTTTGAATAGTCCCTTAAGAGGCAATCAATGATTATTTTAAAATACAAATGAACTTTCAAAATGGCAGAGATACTTTGGTCTTTATCTGAACTCTGGATCAGTTCTGGAAAGCTGTAAATCTGAACCACTGAGTCCTTAAGTAGGTTGACTAACCTTATTGATGCCTGTTGTCAGGGCATAATTACTAAATGTGGCCCTTCCAGCCTCATAAGTGTTTCAGTTACAATGTCACCTTAGCTTTAAGAGGCATTCTATATGGTGTCCTTAATGGAGCTAGAGTCAACTCCCAGGACCTATGGTATTCCCGCTGTTAGAAGAGATGGCCTGGGATCACTGCAATGCTAACTGCTTAATTAGAGTCCAAGTTTTGTTAATGAACTCTAAACCAAGTCCGGTAAATTAAAATCCAAAGAAGTCTAACTATTTCAGGATCTTTTGAAAATCTAATATTCAAATTCACAAAAATGGAATACAATATGTATGTTGTCTCAGCAATAAAAGTTAGTATGGGACGTCAAGCCAGGGCATTAATTAGAATGAAATATTATAGGGGTGAGAATATTCTATTCCTACATGGATATAAGTATAATCATAAAACTTGAGTTATTGCAAATGATTTTGTTTCTAAATGGCAAGAGAGGGAATAGATTAATTTAGAGAAGCGTTGATGGTCATTCAAAGCTAAATGTAGTGACGATCCATTTAGAAAGCAGACTGAGGGTATTATAAATGTCAAATTGCCTTAGATTCGAGCAAAGCAGTATTAAAGCCTAATATATCAGAAAGACTGTGTGAAACAGGTGAATTTTGAGAGTTTGATTGTAACAATGCTGAAATATATCTGGATCAGCAACCTGAAAGATAGGCAGGCTCATCTGCAAATACAGATACCTGCAAGTGACCCACAAAATAAGCAAGGCACTACCTTTCCTTTAATCAAAACTTTCAAATAAAAATAATAACATTTACCTTGTATATCATGATTTTTTTTTTAAAAAAAGACAACAAAACAAAAACAAACAAAAGCCCTTTCTCAGATGAGAAATTAGTTTTTCCTAATGCAAGAAGTCTATTATAATCTTTGGAAAGATGCATCTACTTTCACTATTAAACTGTATCATGATTTGATGGTCAGGCTAGGTAATAATGATTTTGGAGAACAGAAATACAGAACATTATGACAAATTAGGACCAAAGTTTGACTTGCCATAAAAACAAGAGATAAGCTATTGCATAAACATCACATATTTCCTAGTTTTTTAAAATCTGGATTTTATATTTTCTCTTGATTTGGATTTCCTGTTAAAAATAAATGATGGTAGTTCCTTTATTAGACTGCATTTTTTAATGGATAAATTTTGGTCCCAGCAGCTGCACATCTGATTATGCATAAACAAAATTAAAGAATTTCCTTTCATTAAAATTATGAACCTAGCTTTATTAGGCAGTAAAACTTCCTTTACAAATGAAAACCATCATTAATCTTTATATCACAGAATCTATGAGGCAGAAGAAAAAAATCAAGTACATTAATTGGCTGAATGTTCATAAGTGAACATTTAAAATGTCATGCTCTACTTAAAACATTTCTTTTGCTTTTGTAATTAAAAATGTTTTGTGCATACAAACATTTCACATTTAATTTTATTTTAAATGTTTATCTTTCAAACACAGAAATTCTCACATTATAAAAACTAAAACCTTTAACCAACTAGATTAGAAATAAAAGACCTAAAATATAACCCATAGTAAAGCAGTAGATTCAAGATCCCAAAATGAGCTCATCCCTCTTCCTTCACTCTGAACACCTCATACTACCAAGTTGCTAAGTAACTTGCATAAGGTTGTCCAGGTGGCAGAGGCTCCAGCAGCAGGGATGAAAAAGAGTCCCACAAGGGCAGCCACTTTTGTGGATGATAGGTTGTCTGTGAACCTAGCCTACAGAAGGTTTTCTAAGTATGATTAAAAATGCACTAAAAGCCAGTTTGTATAAAATTCCAGCTCTTGACTTTCATTTCCAGCTAAGACAGAATAATGGCTATCAGCTTTCCCTTTCTACATGAATCAACTAGAAAGCCATGCAAAAATGCATGAAACAACAGTTCTCATGCTAGCGGATAACAGGCAATGAAGCAAAGTGATACCTGAGATTTGGGAAACAAATGAGGCGAACCCTGTAACTGTCCCCAGCTCAATATCTCAAAAAAGTTTCCAGGCTGCAGCACAGGGCAGGTAAACCAGGCAGACATTGGTGTTTCCTTGAGTTGAAAAGATGCAGCTCAGAATACAGAGATGCCAAGGGGGCTAGAATTCAGATGGCAGAGGACCCAGGGAGGATAGATTCAGAGAGGGAGGAGGAGAATCTGGAGATCTTCAGAATTTCCCTTGAGTATTCAGTTGAGTACTGATCAGTGTAGGTGTGTGAGGAAACAACCCAAGACAGGGGAAAGAGCTACTGGAAAGGGTTAGAGAAATCAATTCCAGGAGCTCAAACAGGGCTGGGGATAGTGCCTGTTCCTACGAACCAGAGTGAAAAATCTGAAGCATACAAAAGAGTATTTAGAAGGGATATACCTTAATAATGGTGTAAGTTTAGTCCTAGATTAAACATTACTTGAATGCCATCTAAAACAGCATAAAAGCAAGACTCAACTGCTTCTAAGCAGCTTAATGGTATCCGAGAACAAAACTCAATGAGATAAAATTTTATAATGTGGACATAAAATAAAAAATAACTAAGAATGCACAAAGGCAGGAAAATACAATTTGTAAAGATAACGGGACCAATTCATCAAGAGAATATAACAATCCTAAACGTGTATGCACTTACTGAGAGCTTCAAAATATTAATACTTGAAAGAAAAACTGACACAACAGAAAAGGGAAATTGAAAAACCTACAATTGTACTCTCATATTTCATCACTCTCAGTAACCGACAGAACAAGTATCCTGAAATTCACCAAGGATATAGAAGACTCCAAGAACACTATCAACAAACTTGACCTAATAAGTGACATTTAAACCACATTCCACCAAATAAGAGCAGGATATGCATTCTTAAATTGTATGGTCAATGTCTTAGAATATTTACCTGAGGTAGATTATATTCTGAGCTCTAAACTAGTCTCAACTCATTTAAAAGGATTCAAGTCATATTAAGAATATCCTGACCATAATGAAATTAACATAGAAATCAGTAACTGAAAGACAACTGGAAAACATCCCCCAAATTGGAAACTAAATAACACATTTCTATGAAAATTAGTAAGAATATAAAGCTGAAAGAATCTAAACACATAGCCTATAAAAATTTGTGGAATGGAGCTAAAGTGTAACAGGTAAAATTACTGCAAGAAATCTCTTAGGAAACCTTCAACCTTAAGAAACCAGAAAAAGACAGACGAGTGAAACCCAAAGTATGCACACGCTAAAAGTATTACTAAAGATCAAAATGGAAATCCATGAAGTAGAAAAGAAGAGAGTTGAGAAAAATCCATAAAACCAAAATTGTTTTTTTAAGACCAATAAAATTGATAAGCTTCATGCCAAGCTATGGTAGGCTAAATAAGGGCCCCTCAAAACATATTCACATCCTAATCCCTGAAACCTGTATTATCTTAGATGTCAAAAATAAACTTTGTAGGTATAATTAAGTTAAAAATTTTGCGATCGGAAGACAATCCTAGATCATCCAGGTTTTCCCTAAATGCAATCACATGTATCCTTATCAGGAGGAGGCTGAGGAAGATTCGAGACAAAAGCAGAGAAGACAAATGCAGAGATTGGACCTACGCAGCCAAAAGCCAAGGAATGACAGGTGCCCCCAGAAGCTGGAAAAAGGAAGGAAGAGGTTGTCCTCTACGGACTCTGGAGGGGGTGTGGGACAGGAGTGGACACCTGGCCACCACAACTGTGAGAAAATAAATGTCTACTGCGTTAAGCTACCAAATTTGTAGTAATCTATTATAGTAACCACAGAAAACAAATGCACAGACTATCCAGGAAAAAGCCAGAAACACAAATGACCAATATCAGGAGTAAATGAGGTGAACTCAGGACAGATATTAAAATAATAAGAGTATCATGAACAACTTTATGCCATTAAATTCAGCATCTTCAATGCAACAGACAAATTCCCTAAAAGATACAATCTTCCAAACTCACTCAAGAAGAAATAGCCTGAGTAGCCAGCCCTATAAGCTATTAAAAATACTGAATTTGTTAAAAACGTTCCCCCAAAGAAAACTCTAAGTCCAAATAACTTGACAGAAAGCAGATCAATGGTTGCCTGTGGAGGGAGGAATTACAAAGGGGCACCAAGGGAAGTTCTGGGGAGGCAGCAATATGTTCACTTGCATGGTTGTGGTAATGGTTTCATGGTGTTCACATATGCCAGCGTCTCAAATTATATGCTTTAAATACATGCTTTTTATTGTATGTAAATTATTCCTCAATAGAGCTGCTAAAAATCAACAACAAAAGTAAGAAAAAGCTTCACCAATAATCTAGAGACTTTAGATGTCAGGAAGGCTGACATGGTGAACTGGATAAGAAAAAAAATTCAATATTCAAAGAGCATGATATTCCCTTAAGTAAGAACACAAGGGGGTTATTAGAAACAACAATGTTTGATCAAACTGAAGTAATGAAGTCTGCTGTGAGACTGCTGAAAGAGAACTGCCAATGATGAAGCCCCCTTAACACCTCTTCAAGGTTTTTCTTGCTCTTATTCTTCCCTTTCTTTTTGTTTTATTTATTTATGAGTTTTACCTTGTATTAATATTAAAGTTAAGGAGGAAAAAGTGGAACACTTTGTGACTAATGGATTACAAGATGCAAACTGTAGGAGGCTTCCCCACTGCTGATAAAGTAAAGATGCCCCTGTGGAGAAAGCAGGGGCCTCACTGGGAGCAAGATAATCACTGCTCAGCTTCAAATATTATTCTCCCCACTCCTCAATTTAGGGCCCTATAATTGGGCTACAATCAAGCACAGCAAGATCCCCCAACACCACGATCCTTTCCTGAATGCAACCAGAGGCGGCCATTCTCACACAATCACCAAGAGTATTAAGCATTTGCTCAAATCTCAATGGATTATCTAATACTTCAATAACCCTTCCTGCCTTATGAACAATTTCCTATCATCATCAGAGTCCTGTGAAGTCAGAGAGACCAAGTGTTGCTACCCCCATCTTAGAAAAGAGGAAACTAAACACAGAAGGATTAGATAACTCTTCCAAGGTCACAAACTAGTAAGTGTTTAGAGAGAGAACTTGGGCCGACATCTTGTTCATGCCACAAATGCCAAGATATTTTGTATGCCCACTTAAATAAGCTTATTTTTCTTAGCATAAAAAATCAACAACTTATGAACAGTAGAAGTAACACAAAACAAAACTGAAACACTTCCAAGCTATAGTAACAAACATACTCTGTGCTCCTTACGACTGCAATTCCTCCATTTCATTTTCTTCATCATTTTCATGGTCCCACCTGCCACTCTATCCAGCCTCAGTTCCAGATTTATCTACTTCAAGCCACTCATTTCATTCCCACATCCAGGGAGTTCTCCATTCCCACATCCAGGGAGTTGAGCATTGTTTGAGAATAATTACAAAAACGAGCCACACTCATTTTGGGACAAATTCAGCATGTCAGGTCCTGCGTGCTATCAGGGGAGCCTTTCACTCATCTCTAACTGGCTCCCAATCATGTTCTCACAACATTCACTTTAAGCATTCCTCCTCCTTGGACTTCCATTGATTTCTCCTGTCTCTCTGGCCAAGAATCCCCTAGTTCCTTATCATACCTGAAGCGCTTCCCATGAGCCTACTCCATGCTAGGGACAGAAACGTGAGGAGGCCCAGCCCCTGAGGAGCTCATAATACCAGGATGGGGTCATCCACCAAAACAAAACAAGCTATGCCACAATGGTGTAAGTGCTCTAACAGAGGTACATATACAGTATTATGAGATTAAGGCATAAGGAAGGACCCACAAGAGGTATGCCACTCAGGTACATACAAAACAGAAGTCCTCATTTCTCACCCCAAACTTGTTTTTTACCCCATGTTATCTAATTTCAAAGTAAATCAAGATTCATGGCTTTTGAGTGCTCCTTCTCTCTTCATATATCCTGAATCTAATACATTGCCAAGTTTTAATCAGAATTAATGTATGTATGCCTAACTTCTTTCCACAAAACATTGGAAAGATTTCTTCTGTTCTGCACCTGTACCTCTCTGCCTCCCCACCTTTCTACTGCCTGTCTGGCTGGCATCCATCTCCCAGTGGGACAGTGCACGGCTGTGGAAAGTGTTCACACAGACCAGTGTTAACATACCAGTCCTACAATGTAGCCACTGTGAGATTCTGTAAGTCTCCATCGCCCCTTCAGTAAAATGGATTTAAGAGTAGTACTATCCATTTGAGGATTAGAGATAATAAGGTTCCTGGCACATACTATTCATGTGTTCAATAAGAAGCCTAATATGTGGTCTCAACATCCCCAGTCTCTACCGAATCCAATCCATCCCGCCTCCACATTGCTGCCACCTGTTGGCTAAAGCACCCCACTGAATCCTCCACTTACTTGTTCAAAACCATTGATAACAGAACCATCAGGGCCTGTTTCATGAAGGGGACACTCCTGCCCCAGCCCACCTGAGAAGATTTGTTTCATACTACTTCTCCTCTAATAGGCAATGCTTCAGCAATTTTTGGGTAATCTGTTTTACTCAAAGAAGTCCCATATTGTTACAATTTTGTCTCTTACAATGTTCCTTCTGCTTGGGATCCCATCCTTGCAATTCTGAAGGACTGGACCAGGCTCTCACTCCTGGCTAATTTGTTTTGGGGACTAGGTCCCTGATCTCTGTTCCATAGTGAATTATGATCTCTGTGCTGGATTATGTCGGGTGTGTAGTTCAGGCTTTGCTCATTTTATCATTTTACTTCCCATTGTGCTTAGTTCAGGATCATGTAAATAGAGGACATTCAGTAAATATTTCCTTGATGAATATAAGGAATAAAAGAAGGAAAGAAGAGAAAAAAAGAGAAACACCAGAGCAAGTATGGGGATTGAGAACTCATGGATGAAGCAATTTGAGTATACTCCAAGTTGCTAAACAATGTTGTGATTAATTAGAAACTACCACCAAGATCCTGAGCACACCCACGCTGTTTTCCTCTTCAATATGCAGCAGATGATGTTTGTGATTACAAGCTGGTGCTTGGCACATGTTCTGCTTGAAAGAATGGACTGCTGCTATTGATGAATTCAACCCCATGTGGTTCAATCATTCTTTCACAGTCTGGCATTTATGCCAATACATTCCAAAATCCTCCAAGGCAATCAATTTGCCAAGATGTTGTGATGGGCCAGTTGTCTATAGATGCGTGCTTGTAAGCTGATCATGGTACATTAGGGCCGGTATGCAATGACTGTGTTAATCTGGTCATTATTATTCCAGGTTGCTAATGTAAAGGTTTTTATCAACTTAGAAGAGGAGATGATTATAGGTCTTAATACCACTAAAATACTGTTTTCAAAAACCAATTTCTGTTACTATCAAGAATTCTTTCTAAATTCTAAAATATTTTCTTTGTCAAAAGTATCTACATAAATGAAGCAGACATAAAATGCATTCCTCAGCAATTCTCAACTGAACGAATTTCAAACTTCTTAACAGTCATGGGAGTGTGGTATGTTGCTGAGGAAAAAATTACGAAGAATTACTGTTCTAGAAAACTTTTATTTAAAAAGAGGAAGTATCCTTTCTAAATAAATAATTTTCTTTTTAAAAAAATTTTATTTTACTTTAAGTTCCAGGATACACATGCAGTATGTGCAGGTTTGTTACACAGGTAAATGCATGCCATGGTGGTTTGCTGCATCTACCAACCAACCCATCACCTAGGCATTAAGTCCCAGATGCATTAGCTATTTATCCTGATGCTCTCCCTTCACCTGGCCCCCAGACAGGCCCCAGTGTGTGTTGTTCCCCTCCCCGTGTCCATATGATTTTCTTAAATAGCTATATTGTTAGCATTGTCTATAGACAGGGCCACTTTTTTTTCCTATATGTAAATATATCTTTATTGGGGTCTGCTAAAATATCAGTTACTTTTCTCTAAAGTTATATGCATATTTCATAATATTGATTCCGCAGTACCTGACATTTTGGTTTCTATTATCATTGGTATCTTTTTTAACATTACATTTCCTCTTTGATGCTGCACTTGTATGTTAATTTTATATCCACCAATTTTGGTGAACTCTATTAATTCTAAAAGATTTTCTGCACATTCTCTTGAGTTTTCTACATAGACTTCCGCAAACAATGACAGCTTTATTTATTCCTTTATAATGTTGGCTAGTATTTTCTTGGAGATGAAGACTCGTTCTATTGTCTAAGCTGCAGTGCAGCAGCGTGATCTCAGCTCACTGCAACCTCTGCCTTCAGGTTCCAGCAATTCTCCTGCCTCGGCCTCCTGAGTAGCTGGGATTACAGGCACGCATGACCATGCCTGGCTAATTTTTTTATTTCTAGTAGAGACAGGGTTTCACCATGTTGGCCAGGCTGGTCTCGAACTCCTGACCTCAAGTAATCCACCCACCTCAACCTCCAAAGTGTTGGGATTACAGGCGTGAGCCACCGCGCCCGGCCTAATATTGGCTAGTATTTTCAGTACAACGTTTATTAAATGGTGAAAAATGGTTTCCTGTCTCATTCTTTTTTTTTTTTTTTTTTTTCAAGACAGAGTCTTACTGTGTCACCCAGGCTGGAGTGCAGTGGCGTGATTTTGGCTCACTGCAACCTCAGTCTCCCAGGTGCAACCGATTCTCCTTTCTCGACCTCTCGAGTGGCTGAGATTACAGGCGCTCGCCACCACAGCTGGCAAAATTTTGTATTTTGGTAGAGATGGGGTTTCACCACGTTGGCCATGCTGGTCTCGAACTCCCGACCTTCAGTGATCCACTCGTCTTGGCCTTCCAAAATGCTGGGATTACAGGCGTGAGCCATTGTGCCTGGCCCTTGCATGATTTTAAAGAGAATGTTTTTTTCTTTTTTTTTTTTTTACTTTGAGACGGAGTCTCGCTCTGTCATCAGGCTGGAGTGCAGTGGCATGATCTTGGCTCACTGCAACCTCTGCCTCTTGGGTTCAAGCAATTCTCCTGCCTCAGCCTCCCAACTAGCTGGAACTACAGGTGCACGCCACCACGCCCAGCTTATTTTTTATAATTTTGGTAGAGATGGGGTTTCACCATGTTTGCCAGGCTGGTCTTGAATTCCTGACCTCAAGTGATCTACCTGCCTCAGCCTCCCAAAGTGCTGGGATTACAGGCATGAGCCACCACGCCTGGACTAAAGAGAATGCTTCCAAAGTTTCATCAGTAATATCCTTGATGAAAGCTTCTGATACGTATCCTTAAACAGATTTAGGAAGTTCCCTTTTATTCCTGGTTTACTAACCTTTTATCAATAAGCAATAATTTTTTTGTTTATGACAGGGTCTCACTCTGTGCCCCAGACTAGAGTGCACTGGTATGATCATGGTTCACCACAGCCTTAAACTTCTGGACTCGAGCAATCCTCTCGCCTCAACCTCCCGAGTAGTTGAGACCACAGGCACATGCCATCACATCTGGCTAATTAAAAAAAAATTTTTTTTTTAGAGGCAAGGTTTCATGTTGCCCAGGCTGGTCTCAAACTCCTGGGCTCAAGCAATCCTCCTGCCTCACCCTCCCAAAGCGCTGTGATTACAGGTGTGAGCCGCCACACTCGGCCTTTCTTTTCTTTTTATGAGACAGAGTCTCACTCTGTCACCTAAGCTGGAAAGCTGCGGCACAATCACAGCTCACTGTAACTTCAAAACTCCTGGGCTCAAGCAATCCTCCCACCTCAACCTCCCAAGGAGAAAAAACAATGAACTTTAATACATGTACCAAAATATCACATATACCCCATAAATATGGGGTGTTTACTTAATTAAAAAAGCAATGAATTTTATCAAATGCCTTTTCTCCCTCTATGGAGATGAGCGTTACACAGTAAGTCACAATAATAGCTTTGTAACATCAAACCACCTTCGCATTCCTGAGAAAAGCCCTATGGATTACCCAGGCTGGAGTGCAGTGGCATGATTTCAGCTCACTATGGCCTCTGCCTCCCGGTTCAAGTGATTCTCTTGCCTCAGCCTCCTGAGTAGCTGGGATTACAGGCGCACACCACCATGCCCAGCTAATTTTTGTATTTTTAGTAGAGACAGGGTTTCACCATGTTGGCCAGGCTGGCTTCAAACTCCTAACCTCAGGTGATACGCCCACCTTGGCCTCCCAGTGTGCTGGGATTACAGGCGTGAGCCACCATGCCCAGCCATGGGTTACTCTTGAAGGCATCACTCAAATGCCTCTCTGGCAGAATTTCCAGATCCCATATAGAGACAAAAAAATCATGTCCAGTAGATTTCTTAGAATACTCACAGTCACCCATTTATGCATCTCTGCCTGAACTCCTCATGGCTACTTATTGTGCCATGCTGCCTGCCATTAGACAAAGCCACTTTTAAATGAAAGGACAGACACACTTGACTGATGGTATTCTGACAGTATTTTCACAATATGCTGTCATTCTTAGTGATATAATAAAGTTTTCTCACCTACCCGGTTTTTCAATAGATATTATATGCAAGGAAAAAAAGAATATATATGACTTGCATCTGCTAAAGACTATACAACCATAATCAGTGTTGAATAGTACAATTTCTCCAAATCAGGGAAACTCAGGTTTGACTCTATCTTGGCCATTTAGAAGCTGTGTGATGTTGTGCAGGTTCCTTACCTTCCCTGAGCTCCAGGTGTTTTCATAATTAAAGGTGGAAATGCATGAGAAATATATCCCACATTAATTCAACTACTGATGCTATGATTTCATCCATAAGCTCTCTAGTAGAATTTCTCCATAGCTGAATACAATTTCAAAGTTTTACATTAAAAATAGCCAATAGCTCACGCCTGTAATCCCAGCACTTTGGGAGGCTGAGGCAGGCGGATCACGAGGTCAGGAGATCGAGACCATCCTGGCTAACACGGTGAAAACCCGTCTCTACTAAAAATACAAAAAAATTAGCCGGGCATGGTGGCGGGCGCCTGTAGTCCCAGCTACTTGGGAGGCTGAGGCAGGAGAATGGCGTGAATCCAGGAGGTGGAGCTTGCAGTGAGCCGAGATCACGGCACTGCACTCCAGCCTGGGCGACAGAGCGAGACTCCGTCTCAAAAAAAAAAAAAAAAAAATAGCCAATAAATTGTATAGGTTTTCCTTCTCTGTAATCAAATAAACAATTACCCTTCACATTTAAGATTCCACAAAATATTTCAAATAGATTCATTAACATAAAGAATAAATGCATTCTATACTTATAATTTCTTTCCTTTATATTTAACACTCCTACACAGATTACTAACAATACACTAGGCATAAATGAGTAAGACCTAGACAACAGGCTCCCATAATAAATGACAGTTCTATCAAGTTCAATCAAGATATGTACTGCCAAACTATTCTTACAACTACATTTAAATCAGAATTATTCCATTCCCCTGCCTTCATTTTAGATCACATGTAGGCTCCCAAGAAATCAAGTATTCTTGAATCTCTATCAGAGCAGAGCATTTTGAGATGAACTATGCTCCTAAACATTAATCATTTGCTTGGTTAAAGAAACTGTATTTGTATAGATATTTAAGTTTTATATGGATATTGAGTAATATTCTATTAGCACATTCCCTTTTTAGATTCAGACATTCAACAAATAAGTACTAATGAGAATTAGAGTGAAAAGCTAACCATGTATGATTCATGCTATATTTGGCTTTATATATAACAGTAATCATGAATAAAGCTATCAAAAAATAAAACTCAGCCTGAATTCAATGGCCCATGATCTTATGTTGGGGCAGAGTATCTTTTAAAAAAATTGAAATTGTCCCCCAGATTCCGGAAGTATGACTACTGCAAACATAAGGGGGTACCTTGAAATGTAACATCTTAAAAGAAAGAGACGATGTTTTCTGTCAGCATGATTCTCAGAAAATCATAATTATTCCAAAAATATCCCAGAACTATATATATAAAAATGAACTGAACATATGAGGCTGTAAATGTATTCTCTAATTTCAAAGTAGTTCTTGTCCCTCCCTCAACTCTCTTTTTCTATTCTTCTATTACCTGTACCACTAAAAAAGGAAAAAGAAAAACTATTGAATTTACATATTAAAAAATACCAGTGGTAGTCATTAAATAAAGAGAGAGTAAAGATGTTCTATAAAAAAGGGTAGTGCTAAGTTCTCCAAAATGTGGTAGGAAGTAAAGCATTACGTTCATGGAAGAGAAGAGTTAATTCAAAGTATGGACTTTCCAGTCTCTCATCTTTCACTTACTTATAAAGGTGCCATTCCTAAAATAGATAAGAAGCATAAATGGTTATGGAAGAATGTAAATGCTATGGGAAAAGGAGGAGGACATATAACCATATCTTCCATTTGTTTAGCTATGCTAGGACACTTGAGATTTAAAACTATCTTTACCATGTCGGGAACATAACTGACAGAGCCTACAAGGAAGATGCATACATGAATTTGGTCACCATATGCAAGAGGGTTGGTGCACAGGGTCCTGGAGGTCACAAGGTGAATGCTGGATCTTAGGATCTATTTTTCTCATAAAGACAATCCCATCATATCCTATGTCATAGCATATAAATAAAACAAATCTCTCTTCTTAAGGCTGACGAACACACAGTCTATCTTGGTCAATTAAACTCTTTCCATGAAAGCTATAAGAGGCTGCTGAACCTGCTTTCAGTTAGTAAAGAAGGCCAGCCACCTTTGAGAACCTTAGTGGAAAGGCTGATCTACACATTAAGTATGAATCAAAATCTAGATTTCTATAGGGAAAAAAATTATTAGATAAGCCATTTAGTCTTCTTGTCTTATTTTACAAATTTTCAGGAAAAAAACCTCTCCAATAAAACAATCAGATACAAATGACAAGATATAATATTTCCCAATTAAATACAACTTAAATAACAGAAAAGATGTCAGCTAACTAACACAGTTCTATGTATTCCTGAAAAATCTGTTAAGAGCAACATAATACCAAAACAATCCCTTCAATTTTCTTTGCCCCAAAACATTTCATGGCCTAAAGCAGTTGGTAACTAAACACTCCCTTATGAGATCAATACCAAAAATGAATTAATATTGAAAAGCAAGTTTATGGACATTATTATGCTGGAACATTAGTTTTAATTTTACAATGCTATTGGATTTCTATGAAGAACTGATCTTTTTATTGCAGAAAACATTTTAAGGTTTTCTGTTAAAGTCTCCTCTTGTTACAT
This sequence comes from Homo sapiens, assembly GCF_000001405.40. Classification (NCBI taxonomy): domain Eukaryota; kingdom Metazoa; phylum Chordata; class Mammalia; order Primates; family Hominidae; genus Homo; species Homo sapiens. The sequence continues at coordinate 39,965,414 of NC_000012.12, forward strand.
TTAGCAAAACTGAAGAGTACAAAATGAGATAACACAGTGAAAGAGCCTGAGTAATCTGAATGGGTTCAAATGACTTTTAAAAACTACTTACAAACCTGGCTTAGAATAAAGTAATCCAATTTACGTACCAAGAAACCAAAATAATACTTCAAAAATAAATTTCACAGATGTCTACTTATATATCCAGTGACATACACTAGTGAGGGGCCTTGCTTTGTAAAAAACAATGTTTAGGTTTATTCATGTATTATAAAGATTAGTTCAGAAATTTCAGTGACCTTTTAGGATAGAGTACAATTTTCAGAGTTTGGCCTATAAGGGTAATTTCCTTCAGGATCATAACTGTATTTGATTTGAAGGCAAACCTATGATATATCACTATGTCTGAAACACAATCACTGAACCAAATCCAATGAAATACTGCTACATTAAAAGGAATGCAAAGGAAAAACTAAAGCTCTTAAAGAACATTTAGGAATGATTAACATTATTAATTTTAGGCAACTGGCATATCCCTGAGTGCTCAGATTTAAACAAAACTTGGACATGAGAAATCTGCTAGCATAATACTACACCTATGGGATGCGGGGCTTGACTGTCCATAAGGAGGTCATTAAAATCTTTTTTTCATATATATATACATATATATATGATACACACACATATATAAATATAAAATATGTATGCATATGTATGTAGAGATGTGTGTGTGTATATATATATATAGAGAGAGAGAGAGGTGGGGTATGTGTGTGTAGAGAGAGAGAGAAGTATGTATATGTATAAATACATAAATACAGCGTGAGAGAGAGAGGTTTTGTAGTTACAATGATCATCATTACAGAATCTTCTTATTACTTGTAGACCTTTACTTCCTGAATCCCCTTTTCTGGCCCTTCTCCACCCCGATTTTGATAAGGGAAGTGAGGTACCACTGAATATATAAATAGATTTGTTCCAAATTCCTGCAACAATTCTGTTCCTTCTTCCATGTTTTTAATTCACAGACACATGCCCACAAAGCTAAATGTTCTGGAAAACTGGCAGAATTTCAGTAGAGAATGATTAACAGCAGGAAACCATAGAAGTGAGTTCCACATGTTCTGCTCTAGAAATTTTAACAATAGAAATTAGAAAAAAATAATATTGGTATTCCATTAGCACATTCAGCAGACAGAAAATATTTGCATCCAGTGACTGCTAGTCTGAGAAGAAATACGCATGCCAAGCACTCCTATTGATCATCCCTTAAGCATTCCCCTAAATCCATTCTGATGGCCATAGCACAGGATAGATTTTAATGCTACTTTTATGTGCTTTCCTACTGTGTATAAGGACTGGGCAAGGAGAATTCGAAAGATACGTCTCCAGATGCCTTTGCTTTTTAAATGTCTGTGGGTATCTAACCTTATTTTCCTTGGCATTTTGCTTTTAACTTGTGATTGTTTTTCATTAGGCTGATTCTTCTAATCTTTGAACATGACACAAATCATAATTCTACTTGATATGGCTTGAGATGCTCTTCTAGATAAATATGGCTCTCTAGGGATGAGGTCAGTATTTGAAAATCTACATATGGCTGTTTTATTTTGAGGCATGTCTGCAGTTACCATATGGTCAGTGGCAATCTGTGAAGGGAGTCAGGATGTGTCTATTTAAAATACTGACTGAAATTTGAGTTTCTACTTAGAAATTGCTTTGATCCAGCTACTTTTTCTGAATGCTAAGTCTTATTTTGTCTTTTAAAAATGCAATCTTCCCACTGTACTGCAAAACTCAACTGTAAAATAAAACTTGTTTCTACATATTTTCATTGATTAAATCTGTTATGCATATATAAAAAGTCTAGCATTATATTCATTAGCAAAGATGTAGACACAATCCTAGCCTTGCTATTCAACTTATTGATGACTTATTTATGCTGTATTTTAGCATGGCTCATGATCACTGGAATGCACAATTTAGGCAGAAGTGAAGCAATGTCTAGCTGAGTGCCTCTCAGGGATACCCTGTCCTCTGAGATCTCTTAAGACACCAAGATTCTATAACTCTACTGAATGAAACTATTCTAGCAACATTTACATTAAAAATATATGACTCCTTATGTAAAATACAGCCATGACGTAACTGCTGTGTAGGAGTATAAACAAGTGTTCTATTTGAGTGAAGTATGTGGCTATTATAAATTATTCCCATTCATTATTCATCAAGTTTCTATAAATGTTTTAGGAAAATAGTGAAGAACCATTTTCCTAGCACTTTTCTAAAAAGTACTATTCATAAATTACTTAGCCTATTGGTATAAAGCTCATTTACTTCATTGTCATATATATCCATTTGGCCTTTTAATGAAAGGAGGGAAGGAGAAGAGAAAGAAATACACCTGTGGGAGTTGGATGGTGTAAAGGTAGCAAGGCAAGCTAAATTATTTCTAAGAAAGCAAAGAACTGACATATTTAAAGACAGAAAATGGTATCTACATAACCTCAAAAAGGTATGTTCTAAGCATTGTATTTTGACCTGAAGTCATGACTTAAATAGATTCCCTATCCACACATAATTTCACCTCACTTTGCAAATTACCTCAAAAATCTTGAACCACTTCAGAAGCCATCTGATACAAATTCCTATAGCTTCCCTCCTGTATTAGTCTATTCTCATATTGCTAATAAAGACATACCCGAGATTGGGTAATTTCTAAAGGAAAGAGGTTTAATGGATTCACCATTCAGCATGGTTTGGGAGGCCTCAGGAAACTTACAATCATGGCAGAAGGGAAAGCAAACATGTCCTTCTTAACATGGTGGCAGCAAGGAGATATGCAGAGTGAAGGGTGGTGTGGGGTGGTGCGGCGGGAGAGCCCCTTATTAAACCATCAGATCTCATGAAAACTCACTGACTATCACGAGAACAACATGGAGGTAACTGCCTCCATGATTCAATTACCTCCCATCAGGTCCCTCCCAAGATGCATGGGGATTATGGGAACTACAATTCAAGATGAGGTTTGGGTAGAGACACAGCCAAACATATCACCTCCCTTCCAACACAAAGATTCTCGGTATTTCTGTTTGTTTTTTCCTTGTAGCTCAGCAAAAATGGTGACTCTTTCCTCTCTGAACCCCATCTATGTTGAACATGTCAGGTCTCCCTCCTCCTCTGGGATCTTGTACACTATTATTCCCCTTCCTTGCCTGCCAATCAATCCCTCTATCCCAAGTCTACCAACCTACAATTCCGTCACTTCTACATTCCTTGAAAGAAGAGGTCTATACACACTTTCCCATTACTGACACTTTACTCTCTAAGCCTGCCCTTTCTTTTTTATTTTTGTTGTTTTTTTTTGGTATATATATATATATATATATATATATATATATATATATATATATATCTACATTATAATTTAAGTTCTAGGGTACATGTGCACAACGTGCAGGTTTGTTACATATGTATACATGTGCCATGTTGGTGTGCTGCACCCATTAACTCGTCATTTACATTAGGTATATCTCCTAATGCTTTCCCTCCCTCCTTCCCCCACCCCACAACAGGCCCCGGTGTGTGATGTTCCCCTTCTTATGTCCAAGTGTTCTCATTGTTCAATTCCCATCTATGAGTGAGAACACGTGGTGTTTGGTTTTTTTGTCCTTGCGATAGTTTGCTGAGAATGATGGTTTCCAGCTTCATCCATGTCCCTACAAAGGACATGAACTCATCCTTTTTTATGGCTGCATAGTATTCAATGGTGTATATGTGCCACATTTTCTTAATCCAGTCTATCATTGATGGACATTTGGGTTGGTTCCAAGTCTTTGCTATTGTGAGTAGTGCCACAATAAACATAGGTGTGCATGTGTCTTTATAGTAGCATGATTTATAATCCTTTGGGTATATACCCAGTAATGGGATTGCTGGGTCAAATGGTATTTCTAGTTCTAGATCCTTGAGGAATCGCCACACTGTCTTCCACAATGGTTGAACTAGTTTACGGTCCCACCAACAGTGTAAAAGTGTTCCTATTTCTCCACATCCTCTCCAGCACCTGTTGTTTCCTGACTTTTTAATGATTGCCATTCTAACTGGTGTGAGATGATATCTCACTGTGGTTTTGATTTGCATTTCTCTGATGGCCAGTGATGATGAGCATTTCTTCATGTGTTTTTTAGCTGCATAAATGTCTTCTTTTGAGAAGTGTCTGTTCATATCCTTTGCCCACTTGTTGATGGGGTTGTTTGTTTTTTTCTTGTAAATTTGTTGGAGTTCATTGTAGATTCTGGATATTAGCCCTTTGTCAGATGAATAGATTGCAAAAATTTTCTCCCATTCTGTAGGTTGCTGTTCACTCTGATGGTAGTTTCTTTTGCTGTGCAGAAGCTCTTTAGTTTAATTAGATCCCATTTGTCAATTTTGGCTTTTGTTGCCATTGCTTTTGGTGTTTTAGACATGAAGTCCTTGCCCATGCCTATGTCCTGAAAGGTATTGCCTAGGTTTTCTTCTAGGGTTTTTATGGTTTTAGGTCTAACATGTAAGTCTTTAATCCATCTTGAATTAATTTTTGTATAAGATGTAAGGAAGGGATCCAGTTTCAGCTTTCTACATATGGCTAGCCAGTTTTCCCAGCACCATTTGTTAAACAGGGAATCCTTTCCCCATTTCTTGCTTTCATCAGGTTTGTCAAAGATCAGATGGTTGTAGATGTGTGGTATTATTTCTGAGGGCACTGTTCTGTTCCGTTGATCTATATCTCTGTTTTGGTACCAGTACCATGCTGTTTTGGTTACTGTAGCCTTGTAGTATAGTTTGAAGTCAGGTAGCGTGATGCCTCCAGCTTTGTTCTTTTGGCTTAGGATTGACTTGGCAATGCAGGCTCTTTTTTGGTTCCATATGAACTTTAAAGTGGTTTTTTCCAATTCTGTGAAGAAAGTTGCCCTTTCTTGTTCTATTGAAACTACTCTCAAAAAGTCATTAATTAAACTCTACTTGGTAATACCAACAGTGAAGTGGTCTCTTCGCATTTCATATCCTTAGATGATTCTTTTTTAATACACTCATTGGTACCTTTGCCTTTTGTGATACTACAGAATTTTGTTCCTCCTCTAACATTTCTTTGTTTCATTTCAGCAACCTTTATGAGATTCTTCTCTTCTGTTACCCTTAATGCAGGCCATCTCCAAGATTTTACCCCAAGTCCTTAGGTAATTCTACCATGGCCTGTCTCTTTTACTTCCAAAGTTCAATCTTTTGGTTTTAAAAAACAAAACATACACATGCACACACAATTTTCATCTCTAATTCTGATCTTTTTCTTGATCACCAAAATAATATCAGGGTCCTGATGCTTCAAGAAGTAACTTTGTAAGTTGCATTATTACATTGGCTATCAATACTTTTCACCATTCACATTGGGTATGCCCTATAGGAAAACTCATGTAAAAAACTATATAGATGCCAGTGCAAGTATTTTTTCCCTTGAGTGACCTTTTTTCCCCCTTGTGAACAATAAGAATCATGTAACGGACTGCATTTTTCTTTCCGGTATGGCTGATAAGAAGCTCAGAATCAAATATGCAACAAATCTTTACCAAGTGTTTAAGCCTTTACGGTCACTAATATATATTTTAGCTCTTCCCCTAGTGTTGATTTTCTCTTCTAATTCTTAACTTCCCATATTATTATGTTTTTATTTTTATTTAGTTCCTATTTTATAATTTATATTTATTTACATTTTTGAATGTATCTTCCATAAGTTTCCTAAAATCATTTCGGGAATAAGACAAAATACAACCCAATAAACAATGTAGAACAGCTGCAGGTATGCAACAAATTCAAGATCAAAGTCATTGAATCATTCGTAATTATGCAACTGTTTATTCCCATAGTTTAGCTTACTATAAGTGCTCAATGAATGATTACTGAACTAAATAAAAATATAATTTGGTTTTTAAAAATATTTCCTTTAGATGTTTTTCACCTAATAAGCATTTATTTCTATTAAGGTCTAACATTAGAAAAGAATTTGAAATATTACCTTTTCTGGCAAAAAGTACAAGAGTTTATTAACCATAACCTGTTTCCATCATTTCAGAATCAGCCTGAGTCATGTCAACATCTCTGGGTGGATGAAAGGCTCTATAATATAATTTCTTTATGACAGGGAGTAAATTCATAGTGCAGTTGCTTCCTCCCATTACCTTCTGACACACTCTATAACAATCCATATAGTTTATGTTAGGGGTTTGGAACAACATATATGCCTACAAGAAAAAATAAAAATGTGGCTGGGAACAGTGGCTCATGCCTATAATCCCAGCACTTTGGGAGGCCGAGGTGGGCAGATCACCTGAGGTCAGGAGTTCAAGACCAGCCTGGCCAACATGGCAAAACCCTGTCTCTATTAAAAATACAAATATTAGATGGGCATGTTGGTTTGCGCCTGTAATCCCAGCTACTCAGGAGGCTGAGGCAAAAGAATCGCTTGAGCCCAGGAGGCGGAGGTTGCAGTGAGCTGAGATCACGCCACTGCACTCCAGCCTGGGAGATAAGGGGATGGAGCAAGAGTGTCTCCAGAAAAAAAAAAAAAAATATATATATATATATATTTTTTTTTATATAAATATATATATAAATTATATATAATATATAAAAATTATATATATAGAATTTATATTTATATATATATATATAAATTGATTTTGCTGCTTTACTTCTTAGACTACCATCTGATAAAATATACTCTTTCAGAGTTACCAGTGAAAAAATGAAGGTATAAAGTAGGCTCTTCACTGATGGTCAATTGTTATCTCTAAGAATCACATGGCAGGAACACAGGAACAGCACTTATGGCCAAAGTAGGGCAGGGAACATAGCCCACAAAGCAAAATTCTATTGCGAAATGATCTCCCAAGAGCCTGCTGCCCAAGAATGCAGTTTATGCAGATGATGGTTAATTAACATGACTCATCCATCATACTGCACTTGCTAATGACCTCAGTTCTTATTTCACTGAGGAAACAGAAGCAATTAGAAGAGAACTAATTCATCTTCCCACCAAATCTGCAATCTCCCTGCATCTTGGCCCATATCATCTGCCATCCAAAATGTGAAAAGATCAACCTCTCTATGTTGGATGTTGATCATACTCTTTAAGCCTATGGAGAACATTGCTCCTATAATTATCTCTCCCTCAATCCCAACGTCAGTTACCCTATCTATTAGATCTTCTTCATCAGCAGAGAACATTGATGTAGTATCATTCATAGTAAAATAAAACTGAAAAATCAACCTTTTAAAAAACCCATATCATTCTCCAGTTCATATCTTATTCTCCTGCCCTGATTTATAGAAAAGCTAATTAAAAGTCTCTACACCAGGCTGGGCATAGTGGCTCACACCTGTAATCCCAGCACTTTGGGAGGCCAAGGCAGGTGGATCACCTGAGGTCGGGAGTTCGAGACCAGCCTGACCAACATGGAGAAACCCCGTCTCTACTAAAAATACAAAATTAGCTGGGCGTGGTGGTGCATGCCTGTAATCCCAGCTACTCAGGAGGCTGAGGCAGGAGAATTGCTTGAACCTGGCAGGTGGAGTCTGCAGTGAGCCGAGATCACACCATTGCACTCCAGCCCGGGCAACAAGAGCAAAACTCCATCTCAATCAATCAATCAATCAATGTCTCTATACCTTTTACTTCCACTTTCTTGCCTCTACTGTCTCCTCAACTCCATTCTAAGCAGGCTTTCCTCTCCACAAATTCACTGAAATTGTTCTTGTCAAGCTCTCCAACTACCTCTACTAAGCAGATTCAATGATCAAGTCTCTGCTATCTCACCTAAACTAAGCGCAGCATTGGAAACAGTGGCTTTCTCCTTCTTGAAACACTCCCTTCACTGGCTTTCAGAAACCACTTTCTTTTGGTTTTACTTCTGTATCATTGGAAGCCTCTGTTCAGTCTCTTTTTCTGGATTCAGCTTTGCTTCCTGATATCCAAACTTTGGAATGCCCCAGAGCCCAGATTCCTTCTCTTCTCCCCATAGAGGGGTTCCTCATGGATGTTTTCCAATCTCATGACTCCCAAATCAACACTGTCATGCCAACCTGTCCTCTGAGCTCCACTGTCACACATCTGACTTCTTATTCCACATCTGCATTGAAATATACAACTGGTATCTCAAATTGTACTAGCCAAGACAATACTCTTGATTCCTCGGCTACTCACTTCTCCTTCAGCATTCCCCCCTTCATGAAATAAATCCCCCATTCACCCAGGTGCTTAAGCAACTAGAGTCATCTTTCCCTCACACCTGTCTGTTAAATCTAATCACTTAGGCTGCATTTCTTCAGAGCACTTACTGCTATCAGAGGTCAAGGTATGGATGTATTTGTTGTCTTGTTTTTCTCTCTTAGTAGGCTCTAATTTCCATGCATTTGGTTCTAATTTCCATCTGCAGAGTGGTCCATAATTTGTATATTTTTGGAAAGAGTTTTTCTACTTCAAAAACGACAACTGCTTGTGATTCAAGGCACATTTCCATACCATTCTGTCTGATCTTTTCCAGGACCAGAGTCAGTGGGAAAAGCATGTGCTCTGGAATTAGACATGCCTCAGTTTCTGTAAGAGTTCTACCCTACCAACCCTACCAGCAGCAGCAGTAGCAGCATTATCTTTATCACTGACAATGTATCAGCACTTGCTGTTTTCCACAAACCATGTTAACTTCTTTATATACTTTAATTCTCACAACAAATATATGAGTTAGTGTTATCATTCCTGTTTTACAGATGAAGTTTATGCAGATCCCAGAACTGATAACTACTACAGCTAGAACTTAGTCAAGAATCGTAAACCAAAACTCTTCCTCTTGACCAGTGTATTCATCTGCAATCCCAGTTCAACAGCTTATCCAAAGTCACCCACTTACATATGAACAGCACAGAGAGGGTTGGGGCCATATCTGACCTCAACCCATGTTCTTGCTAACCATCCTGCCTGTTTTTGGTGTCCTCATTTATAAAACAGGATGATGACGCAAACCAAGATGATGCATGCATACTGCCTGGACAAGGCATACACTCAACAGCTGCTAGCTCCCCTTACTGGGTTCTGATATTTACAGGTACATGACTGAGTTTTTGTTAAAGCATCACAGTGTTTATAAAAGTTTTCTTAGTCCCTGTAGTATCTTCTACCACTTTTGAAGCACTTCATTGAGACTCTAAATGCAAAACTACAAAATCATAAGATACGTTCAAATTATTAAAATATCGTATTATGTAGCAATTTACACAATTCTAGACAAATGGCATGGGGCAATGATGAATATCACTGAATACCATTGCCTGTAAACTAATTGAGAAGTTTTACACTGTGAATTTTGCAATATAATTCTCCTGCTCCCCTTACATGTTTACACCTTACATTTTCCTGTAAGCCTTTTACATAATTTTTCACAGAAAACTTACAGGCAAAATTCTTTTCTATTGCCAACATTTCTTAAATTTTGAATTAATCAAGTGTTTTGTGTTCAGGCACTTTTATGTATTATAAAACTATAGCTAAATTTTACTTTTCCATTCAGAAATCTTAAAGTTCATATTAGCATCAAAAGGCATGCATTCTTTCTTTTCAATGTTTTAATGTTACATGAGCAAATGCTTTTGCTAGGCCTGGAAAGGGCTGAATTACTATTCATTATGGTGATGCTTTTAACAAATACCTTCAGTTTAGACAAACAGACATGCAACAGATAGATATGAAGGACAAATTTCACTCAGACAAAATGTATACTTACTTTCTGTTAAATCCTAATTTTAAAAGCACTCCCCACCACCTGACTTACATTTTAGTTTGCTAATTTGCTATGGAATAGGAAGAAAATAATGCCAAAGGAGGGAAGTGAAAAAAATTTATCTTCCCTAATAGTAGACCAACTAAATATTTTAACTACGTACATTCTTTTAAGACAATCTAAATTCAGACACTCTAAGTTCAGACATTCTGAATTCTCATAAAAATATGTTCGTGTAATAAGGTTTGTTCAGTGATGACTTAGACAATGCCTAAATTTTTGCCATATTTGTGCCACTAAAAGGTAGTAGACATTTTCTAAATTTCTCCATGGCAAGCCCCATTAATTCTAATTAAAGCTTCCCATTGCCAGCTTATCCTTGGCAGATAAAACAGTTTAGAGACTGCAGCTAAATGTAAGATTTCCCAGAAGGAACTGAAAATAAGTTAGACGTATTCAAGTAAGCCACCTGTCTGGAGGAAGATTTATTTATTTGATCAGAATAGCTGTCCAAACTTCAGATGACTCATGCACAAAACAGATGTAGCTCTTTAAATGCAAGTATTTTTATTTCACTCTCTATTAACATGCATCACAAATGGATGGAGCAACTCTAAGGAGCCAACGGATACAAATGTTCAATAACGTATATTTGCTTATGAATCTTCAGTTGTAAATAAGCATCAAACCGGATTCTTAAAGTTGAAGATTCTAAATAGCTATGTGCACTAACAAACAGCAGACTAGGAGTGCTCCATTCTAAGCTAAGTTTCCAAATATAATAACTGCTAATCAAAACAGTGACATCACAATCAGATACGTGAAACACAGAGGAGGCACAATTGTCACATGGTGTCAGCTCTGCTCAGGAGTTCATCTTTTTGTCTTCTAATGGGGCTGAAAACAGACAGCCCACCCTTAGATAAGCACCTGGGGTACCCATTATGACAGCATTACAGCAAGTTCAAGGACATAGCTGCCCCCATAAACAACACCCAAAATTAGAACAGGCAAGTTACTTAACCTCTCCATATCCCACCATCTTTTTAGTTACTGTCAAATGCAATTCACCATCAGCACCAGGACTCTGTATGGTAGGCTCCAAGATAAATTAGACATGGTCCTTGATGTCAAGAAACACAATGGTACGTGGCACTTACCAAAGTAGACAATGATAAGTGCCATAAGGGTTGACTTCATGACCGCAGAGTTGCAAACAAGAGAGATATATTCTAGCTGAAGCAGACCATATATGAACACATTTATTAATTCCACGATTCATTTGAAATTAGAATAGTTAATTTTCATTAATGTTACCTCTGGTATTTCCCACTTGTAACAATGTTTTAATTTTTAAATCTTCACTTTTTTTTTTAAAGACTGGGGGGGTCTCACTATGTTGCTCAGGTTGGTCTTGAACACCTGACCTCAAGCAACCTTCCTGCTTCAGCCTCCCAAGTAGCTTGGATTACAGGAGTGAAACTGCTGCCCCTGGCCATGTTTCACTTTTTAATCATCAGTATGTCATTTTTGTGTGTGTGGAGAACCAAACTGACTTTATTAAATATTTTATATAAGATGTTTTCATTGTATACCTTCTACCTAACCCAAACCAAAACTTCCAACTTTCTGGACACTTAACATCTCTTGGCACTTTCTGGCCTTATCATTAAGATAAAAAATGAAATCTACCTGTAGAAAAACTCAAGGATGTTGTCTTTCTTTAGCCCTAACCCTAGCATTGCCATCTTATGCAATGCATTAAAATGTTTTCCTAAAAATTAACTTTAAACAACATCAGGAAGGAAAGCATGAAAACAACATACGTACTTTAAGCTAAATGACTGGATTTCATAGAGTTTGACATCTATGGTAACAGATAAAAGGATGAGGGGTTTGGAAAGAGGAAGGTAGGCATGAGCTCATGTTTATTCAGTTCCTACTAGATTCAAGCTCTATATAGATTAATCTGCAGTGCTCCCTAAGAGGTTTGTAGTATTAATCCCATTGGGCAGATTAGCAAACAAAGGCTCAAAGAGGCTCAGTAACTTTTCAAAGATCAAGGAGCTAGTGAGTGGTAAGGTCAATGTTTATCTAACCCCAAACCCCTCAAAGTTTCTAATGTTCCCACATATCAAACTGTGTCTCTGATCTCTTTCAGCCATTGAATTAGCAACTGAGTCAAACAGAACTTCCTTCGTTGTTGCAGAGATTATTTTGTCTCAGTGTTCACTTTCTCAAGAAGGAAAAGAAAGCAGTAGACTGAGCTTCTCTGAAAAGAGGCACAGTCTTTTTCTCATTACATCAAGAACGGTTATTAAATAATGTGGCTGAAAAAACACATCAGAATTTATAAATACGTTTCCTTCAAAGTCATCTTGGGAGGGAGGTTACAAAATTATTTCCTTGATGTTGCTACAGCTCAAAATATAACTGAAAATCTTTTAGAAATATCTTCAGAGCCAGTGACACACTCCGAATATCCTCAGTGGTCACAAATCTTCACTCTCTGCTAATCAAGGTAGCTTTTGGCAGTAATCCAGAGGCAAGCATTATTGCTAAAATGGCTTATTCAGTTGAGTGAAAGCATTTGAGATCAAAAAGAAGAGATTCCTATAAATTAATGAGTTGTGCCAAGTTGTGGCTCAATCCAGGGCCTTGGCTCATGGTCTTCACCCTTTCTCTGGCATTACCAGAGATGCCTCCCCTAAATGCCCATTTCCCTCCTATCTAAATTATTATCTTTATGATAATTTTTCTTCAGAGGCCTGTGTATTTCACGTGTGTGTTTTCATTAATGTCTCCCCCACCACACTGTAAGCTCTGTGAGCTCAGTAACCATGTAGCTTTCTCACTGCAGTATATCTGGCATCTAGAGAGAACTGATAGAAGTAAGCCTTCAATACATTTTTGTTGAGTGAGTGAATGAAACGTTTTATGGCTCAAAAATTGGCTCTCAAGGCAATTCTAATAAAAATAGAAGTTTTCTGAGCAACAAATGGCAGCATCACAAAAATACAGTCCATCTCCCCCAAATGGAAGAACTCTTAATTGGTGAAGAAACCAACTTGTACTTTAGAGTCACACTATCTCTTTAACAAAGTGCTTGACTCTCGAGCCAAGATGGCCGAATAGGAACAGCTCCAGTCTACAGCTCCCAGCGTAAGCGATGCAGAAGACGGGTGATTTCTGCATTTACATCTGAGGTACCGAGTTCATCACACTGGGGAGTGCCAGACAGTGGGCGCAGGCCAGTGGGTGCGCGCACCGTGCGCGAGCCGAAGCAGGGCGAGGCATTGCCTCACCTGGGAAGCGCAAGGGGTCAGGGAGTTCCCTTTCGGAGTCAAAGAAAGGGGTGACGGATGCACCTGGAAAATCGGGTCACTCCCACCCGAATATGGCGCTTTTCAGACTGGCTTAAAAAACGGCGCACCACGCGACAATATCCCACACCTGGCTCGGAGGGTCCTACGCCCACGGAATCTCGCGGATTGCTAGCACAGCAGTCTGAGATCAAACTGCAAGGCGGCAGCAAGGCTGGGGGAGAGGCGCCCGCCATTGCCCAGGCTTGCTTAGGTAAACAAAGCAGCCTGGAAGCTCGAACTGGGTGGAGCCCACCACAGCTCAAGGAGGCCTGCCTGCCTCTGTAGGCTCCACCTCTGGGGGCAGGGCACAGACAAACAAAAAGACAGCAGTAACCTCTGCAGACTTAAATGTCCCTGTCTGACAGCTTTGAAGAGAGCAGTGGTTCTCCCAGCACGCAGCTGGAGATCTGAGAACGGGCAGACTGCCTCCTCAAGTGGGTCCCTGACCCCTGACCCCCGAGCAGCCTAACTGGGAGGCACCCCCCAGCAGCGGCACACTGACACCTCACATGGCAGGGTATTCCAACAGACCTGCAGCTGAGGGTCCTGTCTGTTAGAAGGGAAACTAACAAACAGAAAGGACATCCACACCAAAAACCCATCTGTACATCACCATCATCAAAGACCAAAAGTAGATAAAACCACACAGATGGGGAAAAAACAGAACAGAAAAACTGGAAACTCTAAAACGCAGAGCGCCTCTCCTCCTCCAAAGGAACGCAGTTCCTCACCAGCAACGGAACAAAGCTGGATGGAGAATGATTTTGATGAGCTGAGAGAAGAAGGCTTCAGACGATCAAATTACTCTGAGCTACGGGAGGACATTCAAACCAAAGGCAAAGAAGTTGAAAACTTTGAAAAAAATTTATAAGAATGTATAACTAGAATAACCAATACAGAGAAGTGCTTAAAGGAGCTGATGGAGCTGAAAGCCAAGGCTCGAGAACTACGTGAAGAATGCAGAAGCCTCAGGAGCCGATGCGATCAACTGGAAGAAAGGGTATCAGCAACGGAAGATGAAATGAATGAAATGAAGCGAGAAGGGAAGTTTAGAGAAAAAAGAATAAAAAGAAATGAGCAAAGCCTCCAAGAAATATGGGACTATGTGAAAAGACCAAATCTACGTCTGATTGGTGTACCTGAAAGTGATGCGGAGAATGGAACCAAGTTGGAAAACACTCTGCAGGATATTATCCAGGAGAACTTCCCCAATCTAGCAAGGCAGGCCAACGTTCAGATTCAGGAAATACAGAGAATGCCACAAAGATACTCCTCGAGAAGAGCAACTCCAAGACACATAATTGTCAGATTCACCAAAGTTGAAATGAAGGAAAAAATGTTAAGGGCAGCCAGAGAGAAAGGTCGGGTTACCCTCAAAGGGAAGCCCATCAGACTAACAGCGGATCTCTCGGCAGAAACCCTACAAGCCAGAAGAGAGTGAGGGCCAATATTCAACATTCTTAAAGAAAAGAATTTTCAACCCAGAATTTCATATCCAGCCAAACAAAGCTTCATAAGTGAAGGAGAAATAAAATACTTTATAGACAAGCAAATGCTGAGAGATTTTGTCACCACCAGGCCTGCCCTAAAAGAGCTCCTGAAGGAAGCGCTAAACATGGAAAGGAACAACCAGTACCAGCCACTGCAAAATCATGCCAAAATGTAAAGACCATCGAGACTAGGAAGAAACTGCATCAACTAACAAGCAAAATCACCAGTTAACATCATAATGACAGGATCAAATTCACACATAACAATATTAACTTTAAATGTAAATGGACTATATTCTCCAATTAAAAGACACAGACTGGCAAGTTGGATAAAGAGTCAAGACCCATCAGTGTGCTGTATTCAGGAAACCCATCTCATGTGCAGAGACACACATAGGCTCAAAATAAAAGGATGGAGGAAGATCTACCAAGCAAATGGAAAACAAAAAAAGGCAGGGGTTGCAATCCTAGTCTCTGATAAAGCAGACTTTAAACCAACAAAGATCAAAAGAGACAAAGAAGGCCATTACATAATGGTAAAGGGATCAATTCAACAAGAGGAGCTAACTATCCTAAATATATATGCACCCAATACAGGAGCACCCAGATTCATAAAGCAAGTCCTGAGTGACCTACAAAGAGACTTAGACTCCCACACAATAATAATGGGAGACTTTAACACCCCACTATCAACATTAGACAGATCAACGAGACAGAAAGTCAACAAGGATACCCAGGAATTGAACTCAGCTCTGCACCAAGCGGACCTAACAGACATCTACAGAACTCTCCACCCCAAATCAACAGAATATACATTTTTTTCAGCACCACACCACACCTATTCCAAAATTGACCACATAGTTGGAAGGAAAGCTCTCCTCAGCAAATGTAAAAGAACAGAAATTATAACAAACTATCTCTCAGACCACAGTGCAATCAAACTAGAACTCAGGATTAAGAATCTCACTCAAAGCCGCTCAACTACATGGAAACTGAACAGCCTGCTCCTGAATGACTACTGGGTACATAACGAAATGAAGGCAGAAATAAAGATGTTCTTTGAAACCAACGAGAACAAAGACACAACATATCAGAATCTCTGGGATGCATTCAAAGCAGTGTGTAGAGGGAAATTTATAGCACTAAATGCCCACAAGAGAAAGCAGGAAAGATCCAAAATTGACACCCTAACATCACAATGAAAAGAACTAGAAAAGCAAGAGCAAACACATTCAAAAGCTAGCAGAAGGCAAGAAATAACTAAAATCAGAGCAGAACTGAAGGAAATAGAGACACACAAAAACCCTTCAAAAAATCAATGAATCCAGGAGCTGGTTTTTTGAAAGGATCAACAAAATTGATAGACCGCTAGCAAGACTAATAAAGAAAAAAAGAGAGAAGAATCAAATGGACACAATAAAAAATGATAAAGGGGATATCACCACCGATCCCACAGAAATACAAACTACCATCAGAGAATACTACAAACACCTCTACGCAAATAAACTAGAAAATCTAGAAGAAATGGATACATTCCTCGACACATACACTCTCCCAAGACTAAACCAGGAAGAAGTTGAATCTCTGAATACACCAATAACAGGAGCTGAAATTGTGGCAATAATCAATAGCTTACCCACCAAAAAGAGTCCAGGACCAGATGGATTCACAGCCGAATTCTACCAGAGGTACAAGGAGGAACTGGTACCATTCCTTCTGAAACTATTCCAATCAATAGAAAAAGAGGGAATCCTCCCTAACTCATTTTATGAGGCCAGCATCATTCTGATACCAAAGCCGGGCAGAGACACAACCAAAAAAGAGAATTTTAGACCAATATCTTTGATGAACATTGATGCAAAAATCCTCAATAAAATACTGGCAAACCGAATCCAGCAGCACATCAAAAAGCTTATCCACCATGATCAAGTGGGCTTCATCCCTGGGATGCAAGGCTGGTTCAATATACGCAAATCAATAAATGTAATCCAGCATATAAACAGAGCCAAAGACAAAAACCACATGATTATCTCAATAGATGCAGAAAAAGCCTTTGACAAAATTCAACAACCCTTCATGCTAAAAACTCTCAATAAATTAGGTATTGATGGGACGTATTTCAAAATAATAAGAGCTATCTATGACAAACCCACAGCCAATATCATACTGAATGGGCAAAAACTGGAAGCATTCCCTTTGAAAACTGGCACAAGACAGGGATGCCCTCTCTCACCACTCCTATTCAACATAGTGTTGGAAGTTCTGGCCAGGGCAATCAGGCAGGAGAAGGAAATAAAGGGTATTCAATTAGGAAAAGAGGAAGTCAAATTGTCCCTGTTTGCAGACGACATGATTGTTTACCTAGAAAACCCCATCGTCTCAGCCCAAAATCTCCTTAAGCTGATAAGCAACTTCAGCAAAGTCTCAGGATACAAAATCAAAGTACAAAAATCACAAGCATTCTTATACACCAACAACAGACAAACAGAGAGCCAAATCATGAGTGAACTCCCATTCACAACTGCTTCAAAGAGAATAAAATACCTAGGAATCCAACTTACAAGGGATGTGAAGCACCTCTTCAAGGAGAACTACAAACCACTGCTCAAGGAAATAAAAGAGGATACAAACAAATGGAAGAACATTCCATGCTCATGGGTAGGAAGAATCAATATCGTGAAAATGGCCATACTGCCCAAGGTAATTTACAGATTCAGTGCCATCCCCATCAAGCTACCAATGACTTTCTTCACAGAATTGGAAAAAACTACTTTAAAGTTCATATGGAACCAAAAAAGAGCCCGCATTGCCAAGTCAATCCTAAGCCAAAAGAACAAAGCTGGAGGCATCACACTACCTGACTTCAAACTATACTACAAGACTACAGTAACCAAAACAGCATGGTACTGGTACCAAAACAGAGATATAGATCAATGGAACAGAACAGAGCCCTCAGAAATAACGCCGCATACCTACAACTATCTGATCTTTGACAAACCTGAGAAAAACAAGCAATGGGGAAAGGATCCCCTATTTAATAAATGGTGCTGGGAAAACTGGCTAGCCATATGTAGAAAGCTGAAACTGGATCCCTTCCTTACACCTTATACAAAACTCAATTCAAGATGGATTAAAGATTTAAACATTAGACCTAAAACCATAAAAACCCTAGAAGAAAACCTAGGCATTACCATTCAGGACATAGGCGTGGGCAAGGACTTCATGTCCAAAACACCAAAAGCAATGGCAACAAAAGCCAAAATTGACAAATGGGATCTAATTAAACTAAAGAGCTTCTGCACAGCAAAAGAAACTACCATCAGAGTGAACAGACAACCTACAACATGGGAGAAAATTTTCGCAACCTACTCATCTGACAAAGGGCTAATATCCAGAATCTACAATGAACTCAAACAAATTTACAAGAAAAAAAGAAACAACCCCATCAAAAAGTGGGCAAAGGACATGAACAGACACTTCTCAAAAGAAGACATTTATGCAGCCAAAAAACACATGAAAAAATGCTCATCATCACTGGCCATCAGAGAAATGCAAATCAAAACCACTATGAGATATCATCTCACACCAGTTAGAATGGCAATCATTAAAAAGTCAGGAAACAACAGGTGCTGGAGAGGATGTGGAGAAATAGGAACACTTTTACACTGTTGGTGGGACTGTAAACTAGTTCAACCATTGTGGAAGTCAGTGTGGCGATTCCTCAGGGATCTAGAACTAGAAATACCATTTGACCCAGCAATCCCATTACTGGGTATATACCCAAATGACTATAAATCATGCTGCTATAAAGACACATGCACACGTATGTTTATTGCGGCATTATTCACAATAGCAAAGACTTGGAACCAACCCAAATGTCCAACAATCATAGACTGGATTAAGAAAATGTGGCACATATACACCATGGAATACTATGCAGCCATAAAAAAGGATGAGTTCATGTCCTTTGTAGGGACATGGATGAAATTGGAAACCATCATTCTCAGTAAACTATCGCAAGAAGAAAAAACCAAACACCACATATTCTCACTCATAGGTGGGAACTGAACAATGAGATCACATGGACACAGGAAGGGGAATATCACAATCTGGGGACTGTGGTGGGGTGGGGGCAGGGGGGAGGGATAGCATTGGGAGATATACCTAATGCTAGATGACGAGTTAGTGGGTGCAGTGCACCAGCACAGCACATGTATACATATGTAACTAACCTGCACAATGTGCACATGTACCCTAAAACTTAAAGTATAATAAAAAAAAAAGTGCTTATAAAATATGAGAACAGAGCAACGGTAAGTGCAATCTTCTATAAACAAAGAATTTAATAAAAGAGACGGAAATAAAAATAACTTTAAAAAGTTAAATGTTTTTCATTTAACTTTTGTTTTTACCCAATTTAAGTGTAAATTCCTGGTACCAAAACTAGATTACAATATTGTGTAATATACAATAGACAAAGTAAATTTTTAGAAAAGCATTACTACAATTAATTATGAAGGTTTAATGCAGAAGTTCTGGATTACTAATATCCAGTGAATATATTCCATTCATAATTTCTAAAAACTGCTTTTTAAAAAAAATCAAAGCCATTTACTTCTTTGATGATGTTACTTAAAAGGTAGTCAACAGTTTCTCTCAGTTAATTTTTTTAAGAGGCTAATGTCCGTCTTGATGAAAAATGGAGAATATCCTACAGGGATTCAGATATTTTTGTCAACATCTTTACGGCTTTGTAAGTAGCAAAACACACAGCCCTTAGATAGATAGCTTTTCACGTGCTCATTAACTGGTAGAGATTTGCTGTCATATATCTTTACAAAGACGAAGAAGCAATCTATGGGAGGCCACTGGGGAAATCACCAAGAAGGAAGAATCTGACAATGATTTTTATGCCCCATAAAAGCGAGAATATCATAACTAGAATACCAAACCCACCAGTTTGCTTCTGTTACCTATACTTAAGTTACTCACACATATGGGGGAGGGATATATGCAAACAATTTTTAACTATAATAATAGTAATACATGGTTAATGTTCACAATCTGGAAAATTACAAAAAATGAAAAACAAAGGGAAACCATCTCCAAACACTGTCTCGAGGAAATCATGATTATCGCAATTTTGTCTCTCTTCCCAGTGCTCTGTTTTCTACTCCTCCTGCTGTTGGTTTCTTGGTGTTAGTTTGTTAGAATTCTTTTAGCTTCCCTTTACTGTTATGCCTATATCTGCCTGTTTCTCTTTCCTAAAATTACCAAGTTAGCCATTATTTGCATTCTCTGATGCAGATTACCTCTGCTTATTTAATAAAAGTGAAATAAAATTATTCATAGGAGGTAATAATGGTTAAGAAAAGTATTAAGGAACTGACTAAAATGATTTATTCACAGTGTGTCTCTAAATAGCTTCTGCTTGAAGTATCAAAAGAGAAATGAAAGGTATAAAAGTGTTCCAGGAGCTAAAAAATAAAGTTAGGAATTCAGTGCATAGGAATTCAGTGCATGGAGAGGTTGTAGACAAGAAGGCTGCTTTTAGGAAAGCATAAAACAATGTACTGATACAGAAAGACACATCTAAAGCTTGAATGCTAAAATGAAATGTTTACAAAATCCAGCAGTGGTCACATACCTTATAGTCTGCCCATTAAATGCCAGACTTGAGATCACAGGCAGCTTAATCAACAAAAATCAAACTCCAAACCTTTTCTGTTCTCTGCAGTAGGGTGGTTCTTTACCTCTTTTCATGCTACCATATCATACCTCCTTCAATAAGTCATGATACGAAAAATGGAGTAAAGAATTTGTCTTAGTCCATTTCAGCTGCTATAATAGTGCCATAAACTTAGGGGTTTATATACAATAAATGTTTATTTCTCACCATTCTGGAGGCTGGGAAATCCAAGATCAAGGCTCCAGAAGATTCACTGTGCGGTGAGGGCCTGTGTCTTGGTTCAGGCAGCACATCACTGTGTCCTCACATGACGGGAGGGGAGAGATCTCTCTCAGGCTTTTAAAATAAAGGCCTTGGTTCCAATTGTGAGGGTTCCACCATGACCTAATCACCTCCCAAAGGCCCCATATCCTAATATAAATCCTAACCTCCAGGTGAGGATTTATATTAGGAGATGGGGTCATCGGGAGATGGGGCCTAACCTTGGGGTTAGGATTTCAATATATGAATTGGGGTGGGGAGTAGGGACACAAACATTTGGACCATTGCAGAATTATTTTCAAAGCATACACATATTCTGGAGATACTGATCCATGCCTGTTTACTACACGTTCACCCACCTCGTCGCCACTGATTTATCTGAGCTCTCAATCTATGAGGTGCTTCGTGATATGAACTAGTGCATGGTTTCTCAAACTATGGAGGAAGGACCAATGTTTTTTAAGTTCAATCTGTTGCAGATTGATACTTTTGTTAAATACAACGAAATGAATTACTGAAAAAAAATGAAAAAAGGCACACAAAATACAATTTTGAAAACTAAATTCAATAGACATAAAATTACGGTGACTGATTGCTATAAAACTTTCTATATGCCTACTCTCTTTTTCTGTATTTAACCTGTATTTAAGCAGACCAAAAAAAAAAAGATTTTTTAAATGTATCTTAGCAGACAAAAAAAAAAAGAGGGAGGGTGTTTATGGACAGAAATCAGTCTGTAGACCACACTGATCAAACCGACCAATTTCAAAGAGAACAAATCTCAGGCATATCTATGGTGCTTGCCAACAGTCTGAGTTGGCATGAAGTTTATTTCCTCGAAGGCAACAAGCCTGGTCTTGGTTAAAGCTGCCATTTGTGCCTAGATTATGACTGTGTACTGAGTTGAGCCATCAAAAGGCATGTTATTTCCTAGAGACACAAGGATATCAGCAATTGAGGGCAAGATTTAAATACCTAGAGATAATAAAAATCTTAAGCTTTGATCATAAACTATAAATTTAACAACCTGGTTTCCCCTTTGGCTGCCTTTAAGCTATAACCTTTTAGTTTTAAGAAAAATGGCTTTCCCTGGACAAAGCCTAAGTTAATCATAGCTCCAGTCAATCATATCCAAAGAAAACAAACCTATAGCTTCACATCATGGCAAGATTGCCATGAATGAAATATTAAAATGTCAAACAAGATGTGGTCTCTGCCCCCAAGGATTTTAATGTAGACAGACAAATATGTCAACAAACAATGACAAAATAATGAGGTAAGTGCTGCAACTGACACATGTATAAAAATCATGATACATCTATACACTGCTGATTCCCAAATTCATATCTCCAAATTTGCCCTGTCTCTTGAACCGAAAACTTGCTCACCAACTGTCTACTCAATTTCTTCAGCTGGATGTCTAAAAGACATCTCAAATGAAATGTGTCAAAAGCAAACTCCTGACTCCCTTCCCCAAAATAATAACAATAACCTGTTTCTCTCACAGTCCTTCTCAATTAATAGCTACTGCATCCTTTGAGATATTCAAACAGCTATGAATTTAGTAATCAACAGCATGTAGAAGGTACCTGAGACCATGATCTTTATACATTTATACACTGTTTTTTCTTAAAACCAAAAGGTTACTTGAAAAGCTGCCAAAGGTCAAATTTATTTTTTTTCACTTTTTGATAAATTACAAATATATTTTCTTGTAATAAAGCATCATCGGATTCCTGGGATTATCCTTTATTACTACAGTTTAATCTTTTTAATATAATGCTGTCATATACTTGTGAGTGCTTATTTTGTATTATTATTCTATCAAAATAATTTTGAGGCTTTTTCTAAAAATAACTTTTGAAATATTTTTCTTACTGTAAAAGTACTGTTTAATATAGTAAAACATTAAAATAAAGGCACACAAGAAAAAGAGTGAAATCCCCCACTGACCCTCCAATTCTACCCGTGAAAATCATCACTATTAATTCTTTGCCTTGGTCTGAACTTAGTAAATCCCCTATTGATAAATGTTTAGATGGTTTCCAGTTTTTCGCGACTACAAACAATATTGCAAGGAACAATCTTCTAGATGTACATATCTTTGCATATATGTAGGGACAGTTTTTTTTAAATAGATTCCCAGATGCAAAAATGCTGGGCCGAAAGTTTTGTAAATGTCTTATTTTTAACAGTGCTAAATTGCCACTTTAAAATGTTGTACCAATATAAGCTGCCACCAAGTAATAATGTGTAAAAGAGTAATCATTTTTTCATACTTTGGCACATTGGTATTATCAATATTCTAATCATCAACAACATAATTGTTGAAAAAAATTATTGCATTGTTTTAATTTATATTACTTTAACTGGTGGAAAATAAAGATCTTTTCATATATCTATTAGTCAGATATGTTACTTATTGTGTGAGTTATCTTTCATGAAACTTGCCTGTTTTTATATTTAAAAAAAGAGGAAGGAAGGAAGGAGAAAAAGAAAGAAAGAATGAACGAAAGAAAGAAAGAAGAAAGAAAAAAGAAAACAAAGGAAAGAAAGAAAGAGAAAAAGAATGAATGAAAAAAAGAGGAAGAAGAAGAAGACTAGGAGGAGGAGGGGAAGGAGGAGGAGGGGGAGGAGAGGGAGAAAAGGAAGGAGGGAGGGAGGGAGGGAAGAAGGGAGGGAGGGAGGAAGGAAGGAAGGAAGGAAGGAAGGAAGGAAGGAAGGGGGGGAGGAAAATGCTGCTAAAGAGGAAACCAAGTTGTTAAATTCATAGCTTATGACCAAAGCTTAAGATTTTTATCATATATAAGTCAAAAACCTTTGAGTCATCTTTCATTCCTCTTCTTCTAATATCCCCATCCAATGCATCAGTAAATATTGTTAACTCTATACGTCGCCTCCTCTCACAACCCCCATAGCAATCACCTAGGCCTAGGCCACCAGCATCTCTTTCCCAAATTATTCCAACAGCCTCCAATTTAAGGGGCCAGATTCCACCATTGTCTCACTCCATGTACTCTGAGCGCAGGAGCCAGATGAGCCTTTGTAAACCTAAGTCTGCTGTGTCAGTCCTCTACTCATAACCCTTCAGTGGCTTCCCTTCTCATTCTTGAATAAAAGCCTAAATCCTCACAGTCCCTACATAATCTGGTCTTCTGCCCTTACCCCCTGAAACTCTCCATGCCAATTCTGCTTTACCCACACAGACTCAGATAGCCACATGGCTCACTCTCCTCACGTATTTTAGTCTTTTGAATACATGCCACCTCTCTGACTTTCCTGGACCAACCTATAAAAAGGTGCAACCCTCTTGCCTCAATATCCTCAACCATCCTTTATCAATCTGCTCATTAAATTTTACCTTTTATCACCATTATCTGTTAACATTTATTACCACCTTCATATGTTTATGTGTTCCTTGGTCACCCCTCCCCACTAGAAATAAAACTTTAAGGCAGGCTTCCTTTCATTCATCACTGCCAAATCTTCAGTGCCCCCAATGGTGCCTGGCATGTAACAGGTATTCATTTTCTGAGTGAATGAATAATCAAAAATGGATGTCTTGCTCTGGCTGGGTTATGGAGAATGCCAGGGAAGAAGACACACACAACCAATGACACTGAAACTAGGTCTTAAAAGAAGATTCAGGCTTGACTGACATGGAAAGGGCTAAAAATATCATCGCCATATGCACAACTTTTTTTCCACAAAGTCTTGCATAAGAATACACTGTAGGGAAGCAGACTTTTAATGTTCTAGTTGAGAGAATCCCCAGTAAAGAAATTAATCCCCATGATCCAGAAGAGGATCAAGGTTTGGGTAAACAAAAAGAAAATTGCCACTGCTGTCAGGAAATTTTACAGATGAGAAATTACTGTAAAATACATCAAGCTCCTAAATAATGTAAATGTGTTCTTAGTGATCGGTTTATGGTTGCATCCACACTTGGGTTTTTTGGCCACAAAATCACAATTTTATTCTCCTGGAGTTTTCTCTGATAGGACTATAGCTCTAATTTTTAACAGGAAGCCAGTGAGGAGAAAATATTATTCCAAGTCTAGGACTCCTTCCTTTTATATACAGTTCTATTGTTCTATGTCTACTCTAGTAACACCTATGGCCATGTATTCTGGAGTCATAACGATCAAATATTAGTTCCTTTTATTATATAAAGTAGTCTTACACATATTTATTTACTTCTTTATTTCTCATCTTCCTCCCACTGGAAAGTGAGTTCCTTCTAACAGAGCAGGAATGTCTCTATCTCTTCACAATATCCCTGAGGACAGAAGAGGGCCAAGCACACAGAGTACTCAATAAATGCTCAATGATTGAATGAATAACATTCACATGAGAGATAAATACATATTTTACATGGGGAGTGTGGACTTTAACTTCTAACACATGTTCCAGCAGTGCATTCTCCTCTGAGTAAGAGTTCTTCTACTTAACAACATTATCAAAAGTACAAGAAGGATGTGCCCACACTTGGATTTCTGGCTGTACTGTATTCTGGGGATAGTATCTCAGCACACACCAGGGAAGCACAAAATCTGGGGAATGGGTGCTCTATTCACCCATAGTGCTGAACAGTGCTGAAGGAAACAGGGCAAAAGCAGGCAAAGGGATTTTCTTGCAACCCTGGTTCTAGGGCTACGACTAGGTGGTTGTGACACTGTGGGGGGCCTCCATTGCCCCCTAGTGGCAGCTGTGCTTGGGACACTTCAATATATTAATATCCATACTTTATGTATGCATTATATGATCACAGTTTAGAAACTTTAAGCAATGCCAACTCTCTCTACAACAAAAGCTCTAATCAGAGCTTTTCAAACCTCCAAACTCACACAAACACATACTCAAATTAGTCTCAATTGTATTCGATTCTCAAACCTAGGCTTCAAGGTTCAAGTCTCCTTTTTTCATCAACGGAGCTCTCTCTCTCCCCCTGAAGTGTGTGCCAAACACTGATTTTCCTCCTGTAAAGTGAAGGCTTGGACCAGATTAGGTCTTTCCTAAAAATCAATCTGTGAGCCTGTACTGGTCCACAGAGAAGTTTCCTCTGATTTGCAGACAGTTATCTTGTTCCTTATACAGTCTTAACTTCACGGAGTTCAACCATGAAAGACTGTGTTTTTCTCTACTTACTTCACACAGCAGTGCTTTGTAGAACTGCCCACAGTTTCTCATAGATAGCAGAGTTCTCAAATCCTTTTCCTCAATTTGTGTAAGTCCATTTGCTTTAAAACTTCAATCTTATATCTGGGTTAAAGCTTTTTCCTTCATCTCAAATGGGCTCCAAGTGACATCGTAGCCCTACCACATGATAGTTTTTCAGGCCACTCCAGTGCTCTGCTCCCATCATCTTCCGTGTTCACCCCACTCCCCTGCTGCCATCATGCTCCAGTGTTCCTACTTAAGTAGACACAGGAGGCAGATTAGCAAGGACGCCTCATAAGTGCATGTCTAGCTAGGCAATGGGATGTTAGCCTCTCCCAGTCAAGCAGGTCCCTCTCATGTTTACCAATGATTTTCTTGATCTGTATTGGTTGGTTTGGGATGTGAGGAAGACCCCTCTCTTCCCACATGGGTGCTCTCTTTAGAATACAGGCTACTTACCAGCCCCTTTGTCCTCTGCTGCTTTGGACCCCCACCCATCCACAGCATCAATTCAGGGCAATAAAAATATGTCCCACTCACCATCCTATTATTTTTTCTTGTGTGTCAGTATGAAGTTGCCTAATATTCTTTGTTTGAAAGTATTGTCCTTCATTTCAAGATTATATTCTACTATCTTTTTAAAAAAAAATGAAACGGTGATGGTAGTTGAGTTATTTTGTTTCTGATGTAAAATCAAAAGCTTTTATAGCTCACCCATCCTGCCCTTATAGCTCACACATCCTGATTTGGTGAGCCTGAATGTTCTGCAGGCATCCTTGTTCCTCTTCTTTGATTGCAATTATGCTTAAGATCTCAGTAAGATGCATGCTACCATTGCCCCAAAGCTGATTTACAAAGGAGAGAGAAACAGCAATTGTAGCAGGGATTACAGCTTTATCCAAAATACCACCACTGAGCTCCCCTGGTACCTGTGACCTTGCTCAGCGATGCCTGATGTAGGGGTAGAAGAGAGGAGTGAGGGAGGTGCCTTCATTTGCCCTGAATTGATATTGTGAATGGGTGGGGGTCCAAAGCAGGAGAGGACAAAGGGGCGATTAAGCAGCCTATATTCTAAAGAGAGCACACACATGAGGACCCAAGTGATTACGTTGTGCTTTCTACCCTTATTCTATTTTCATTCTGAATATTCCATGGATCACACCATTTCTCCCCTGACAGATGCTAGCATGATATGCAAACTCAATACTGGGCAAGAGAAAAACAGAATATTACTACCACAGAGGTGGCAGGGAGAAAGACAATAGCAGGTTGGCTGAATTCTACCACTCTACCTTTTACAGCTCATAGCCATTTTCTTTCACTCATTTTCATCTTTCTTTCTATTTTTCTCTTGCTCTATTTTGCCACTTTCCCCTGTCACTGTTTTCCTTCCTTTTCATCCCCTTCCTAGGGTTAATTATGGAAAATGGCCGTGACAGTTAAAAATGAAAGAGACATCACTTAAGATTCTTATAACCCAAAAAGCTCAACAAGCTTGGAGTACTCATATTTACTAACATATATGTTCTTAGTAGTAGTAGTATTAACAGGTGTATGTCATTATAGTTTACATTTGGGACCACCAAGATTAGACAGAAAGATTAAATGGCAATGAAAATATAAGGCAGAAAAGCACAAATTCATATTGTAGCTTCTATTTTCCAAATGTGTTAAAATTGACACAATCAAATTACTACCATTTTCTCACACAGAAAAACTGGGGCTGTGTCCTTGTTATTTTCCTTTCCTTAACCAAAATAAAATCTATCACTTAGCTCACAAAGCATTTTTCAATTTGCTGACTTAAATATTTAAAATTGACAGATATGAGTACAGTTACATATACATACATATACATGTAATATATTTAAAGTTTATTGCTCTCTTTTCTTTTAAGGAAAACAAAACTGAAGATGCATCTTATTTTACAATTCTAAAGTACTTATGCATTTAAGAGGAATAATATTGTAATAAAGATTTTAATTCTCAAATATAAAACGTTTTATTTCATCTCTGTATCACAGTAACCATCACATTTTTAGATATACATAAATAGCAATGACTATTCAAGAAATATTACTGATAAAAATTTCCAATAATTTGACTTTGATATTTTATCATCACTACTCAATTTTTAATGCTAATCTTTTATGGCAATCCTATTTTAGAAGCTAATAAACATAAAAGGCAAGCTTTTAGTGGAAACTATGAAGTGAAACAATGTAGTCTGGCTACCATTTCTCAGATGCTGTTTAAGAGATAGATGCAGAGCAAATCCCTGATGGCTTTACTCCTGCATCTTCCATGTGTGAGCCAGTTGCTAGGAAACGTGAAAGACAGGGATTCAGTAAAAACTGCAGAACAATGAGCTAGCTTAAGAGTTATCTGAATACTAACACATATCCTTCATAAACTGTTGTCAACATTAGAAGACTGAAGATTACATGTGATGTTTTTCCAGAGAAACTGATTTTGATGTAGTCCCATCTCTTTTGGACTGAAAAACATAATTGAGATACAAGCAAGACTTATTGCTTATTTAATAGGTCATGAGCCATTAATTGATATAAAAGTGTTATGTTCTTATGTAATGATTAGGAAAATCTTTGCATTCATCTGTAGAAAAGGGTGGAGAAAATTCAAAAGCCTACAAATATTTCCAAACAACATTGAATTTACTATTCTTTCTAAGAAAACAGACACGTATTTGTTTCTTATCTACTTAAATATCATTTAAATCTAATTGAAAAGCAAGGAGCAAAGGAAACATACACAGATTTGTTTAATAATAATAATAAAAATTCTCATCATTTAGCTTTAAGAAACAGGTTCTGGTATCCACTGAAATAAAATGTAATAACTGTAGACATCTTGCAATCTTCTTTTTCCAGTCAGAAGTTGTACCCATCCTATCAACTTACAGATGATAAAAACTAATCTCTGCCGGGCGCGGTGGCTCACGCCTGTAATCCCAGCACTTCGGGAGGCTGAGGTGGACGGATCACGAGGTCAGGAGATCGAGACCATCCTGGACAGTGAAACCCCATCTCTACTAAAAACACAAAAAATTAGCCAGGCGTGGTGGCAGGCACTGTAGTCCCAGCTACTCGGCAGGCTGAGGCAGGAGAATCGCTTGAACCCGGGAGGCGGAGCTTGCAGTGAGCCGAGATTGTGCCACTGTACCCCAGCCTGGGCAACAGAGCGAGACTCCATCTCAAAAAAAAAAAAAACAAAAAAAAACTAATCTCACACTTCAAGCTGTATTTTGATACTGCCGTACATACATATGTGTGTGCATATACATAAAAGATAGAAAAAGGGAAAAAAAAACATACCCATATCACTACCACCATAATAACCAGAAAGGCAAAGAACTCGAAACAAGGGAAGCACATTCTGTCTCACATTACAAACACACACAAACACAAGCATATCTGTGCATATAGTTTTATGCACATTTCAAATGCACTTCTCAGTTCTTGGGCTTTTCATCTACCTGGGCGTAATAAACAGAAAAAGAGCTCTAGAGAGTCAGGAAATATGGGATCCATGAATTTACTGTGTGACTCTGAGAAAGTACCTTAACTTTTCTGGAAATCGCTTCCTCATCTGAAAATTAAGGGAGTAATGCTAACCTCTACAGGTTTTTGAGAGGATGAGATAGTGCATGTGCAAGCAACAACAAATAGCACAGAACTGTGTATGAAAAGATAGTACAATTTTCTTATCTATAAAATGGTCACTTCAGTGAACAGGCATATCAACAGGACTCAATACTTAAACATCAAAATTAAGCCAACTAAAAAACATTAATGGATAAGTGTCTTCTTCCCCAAAATTCATACATAAATTAGACTGTGTCATTAATATTAACATCAAAACAATACTTGGTCTGAGTTAACCAGTATGAGAAAGCATGATGCTTTAAAACAAACAAAACTATAAAAATAATACACGTTGTGCAGGTCTCTTTTTTAAAAAGATTTCTATTGATACATAATAATGGTATATATTTATGGGTACGTGTAGTATTCTGATACATGCATACAATGTGTAGTGACCAAATCAGGGTGATTAGGATATCCATCACCTTAAACATTTATCATTTGTTTGTGTTGGGTACATTCTAAATCTTTTCTTCTAGCTATTTCAAAATATAAAATAAATTACCATTAACTATAACCTCCCTACTGTGCTATCAAACACTACACTTTATTCCTTCCACCTCTTCTCATTTCCCCTCCCCGCTACCCTTCCCATCCTCCAGTAACCACCATTCTACTCTCTACCTCCATGAAGTCCACTCCTTTAGCTCCCATATGAGAACATGTGCATGTCACTTAAAGAGATTTTGAGCTACATGTATTAATTCCTCCAGATTTTTAAGAGTAAAAAAGCATATCAAACTATTAAAGATATAAAAGTAGGCATACAAATGCACTATCTCAAATATTGTTGTTTTTGTCTTTTCCATACCAAATGTAGCTTTGACATCTGATATGGTTTGGCTGTGTCCCCACCCAAATCTCATCTTGAATTCCCATGTGTTGTGGGAGGGACCTGGTGAGAGGTCATTGAATCATGGGGGGCAGGTATTTTCCATGCTGTTCTCGTGATAGTGAGTAAGTCTCACAAGATCTGATAGTTTTAAAAACGGGAGTTTCCCTGCACAAGCTGCCGCTCTTTGCCTGCTACCATCCGTGAAAAACATGACTTGCTCCTCCCTGCCTTCTGCTATGATTGTGCGGCTTCCCCAGCTACATGGAACTGTAAGTCCACTAAACCTCTTTCTTTTGTAAATTGCCCAGTCTCAGGTATGTCTTTATCAGAAGCATGAAAACAAATACAGTACATTGGAGTGGGGCGCTGCTGAAAACATACCAGTTGGAACTCTCTAGAGACTTGTTGAATGGCTTTGCCCACAATGCTGATAGTAATATAGACAATGAAACCCAGGTTGAAGTGGTCTCAAATGGAGATGAAGAACTTATTGCGGAATGGAGTAAAGGTGACTCTTGTTATGTTTTAGCAAAGAGACTGGCAGCATTTTGCCCCTGCCCTAGAGATTTGTGGAACTTTAAACTTGAGAGAGATGATTTGTGGTATCTAGTGGAAGAAATTTCTAAGCAGCAAAGCATTCAAGAGGTGACTTGGGTGCTGTTAAAGACATTCAGTTTTATCAGGGAAGCACAGCATAAAAGTTTGGAAAATTTGCAGCCTGACAATGTGGTAGAAAAGAAAATCCCATTTTCTGAGGAGAAATCCAAGCCAGCTGCAGAAATTTGCATAAGTAACGAGAAGCCAAATGTTAATCCCCAAGACAATGGGGAAAATGTCTCCAGAGCATGTCAGAGGTCTTCACAGCAGCCCCTCTCATCACAGGCCAACAGGCCTAGAAGGAAAAAGTGGTTTTGTGGGCTGGGCCCCCCGCCCCATGCAGTGTGTAGCCTAGCCACTTGGTGCCCTGTATTCCAGCTGCTTCAGCCATGGCTGGAAGGGGCCAACATAGAGTTCGGGCCGTGGCTTCAGAGGGTGCAATCTTCAAGCCTTGGCACCTTCTACATTGTGTTGAGCCTGCCAGTGCACAGAAGTCAAAAATCGGGGTTTGGCCTTTTACAATAGCTGCAAAAAAATTAAAATACTTAGGAATATACCTAACCAAGAAGGTGAAAAACCTCTACATGGAAAACTATAAAACACTGCTGAAAGAAATCATAGAAAACACAAACAAATGGAAACACATCCCATGCTCATGGATGGGTAGAATCAATATTGTGATAATGACCATACTGCCAAAAGCAATTTACAAATTCAATGCAATTCCAATCAAAATACCACCATCATTCTTCACAGAGTTAGAAAAAACAATTCTAAAATTCATATGGAACCAAAAAAGAGCCCACAGAGCCAAAGCAAGACTAAGCAAAAAGAATAAATCTGGAGGCATCACACTACCTGATCTCAAACTATACTAGAAGACCACAGTCACCAAAACAGCATTATACCAGTATAAAAATAAGCACATAGACCAATGGAACAGAATAGAGAACCCAGAAATAAACCCAAATACTTACAACCAACTGACCTTCAACAAAGCAAACAAAAACATAAAGTGGGGAAAGGACACCATTTTCAACAAATGGTCCTGAAATAATTGGCTAGCCATGTGTAAGAGAATGAAACTGGATCCTCATCTCTCACCTTATACAAAAATCAACTCAAGATGGATTAAGGACTTAAACCTAAGACAATTCTCAAAAGAAGATCTACAAATGGCCAACACACATATGAAAAAAATGCTCAACATTACTAATGATGAGGGAAATGCAAATCAAAACCATAGTGTGATACCACCTTACTCCTGCAAGAATTGCCATAATCAGGCCAGGCATAATGGCTCACGCCTGTAATCTCAGCACTTTGGGAGGCCGAGGCAGGCAGATCACGAGGTCAAGAGATCGAGACCATCCTGGCTAACATGGTGAAACCCCATCTCTACTAAAAAATACAAAAAATTATCCGGGCATGGTGGCGGGTGCTTGTAGTCCCAGTTACTTGGGAGGCTGAGTCAGGAGAATGGCGAGAACCTGGGAGGCGGAGTTTGCGGTGAGCCGAGATCGCACCACTGCACTCCAGCCTGGGTGACAGAGCGAGACTCCATCTCGAAAAAAAAGAATTGCCATAATCAAAAAATTAAAAAATAGTAGATGTTGATGGGGATGCAGTGAACAGGGAACACTTCACCACTGCTGGTCGGAATGTAATCTAGTACAACCACTATGGAAAGCCGTGTGGAGATTCCTTAAAGAACTAAAAGTAAAACTATCATTTGATCCAACAATCCCGCTACTGGATATATACCCAGAAGAAAAGAAGTTATTATACAAAAAAGATACTTGCACACGCACATTTACAGCAGCACAATTAGCAACTGCAAAAATGTGGAACCAACCCTAACACCCATCAATCAGCGAGTGGATAAAGAAATTGTGGTATGTATATATATATGTATACAATGGAATACTACTCAGCCATAAAAAGGAATAAATTAGTGGCATTCACAGCAACCTGCAGGAGACTGGAAACTATTATTCTATGTGAAATAAATATTCAGGAATGGAAAACCAAACATCGTATGCTGTCACACATAAGTGGGAGCTAAATTATGAGGATGCAAAGGCATAAGAATGAAACAATGGACTTTGGGGACTTGAGGGAAAAGGGTGGGAAGGGGGTGAGGAATAAAACAGTCTGTCACAAGGGTGGAGCTGCCCAAGGCTGTGGGAACCCACCTTTTGCATCAGCATGACCTGGATGTGAGACATGGAGTCAAAGGAGATCATTTTGGAGCTTTAAATATTTGGCTGTCTCACTGCATTTCAGACTTGTGTGAGACCTGTAGCCCCTTTGTTTTGGCCAATTTCTCCCGTTTGGAATGGCTGTATTTACCCAATGCCTGTACACCCATTGTATCTAGGAAGTAACTAACTTGCTTTTGATTTTACAGGCTCATAGGCAGAAGGAACTTGTTTTGTCTAGGATGAGACTTTGGACTGTAGACTTTTGAGTTAATGCTGAGATGAGTTAAGACTTTGGAGGACTGTTGGGAAAGCATGATTGGTTGTGAAATGTGAGGATATGAGATTTTGGAGGGGCCAGGGGCAGAATGATATGGCTTGGCTGTGTCCCCACCCAAATCTCATCTTGAATTCCCACATGTTGTAGGAGAGACCTGGTGAGAGAGCACTGAATCATGTGGGCAGGTCTTTCCCATGCTGTTCTCCTGAGAGTAAATAAGTGTTGCAGGAAGTTAGGGACCCCGAATGGAGGGACCAGCTGGAGCCGCAGCAGAGGAACATAAATTGTGAAGATTTCATGGACACTTACCAGTTCCCAAATAATACTTTCATAATTTCTTAGGCCTGTCTTACTTTAATCTCTTAATCCTGTCATCTTCATAAGCTGAGGATGTACGTCACCTCAGGGCCACTATGATAATTGTGTTAACTGTACAAATTGATTGTAAAACATGTGTGTTTGAACAATATGAAATCAGTGCACCTTGAAAAAGAACAGAATAACAGCGATTTTAGGGAACAAGGGAAGACAACCATAAGGTCTGACTGCCCGCGGGGTCAGGCAAAAAGAGCCATATTTTTCTTCTTGCAGAGAGCCTATAAATGGACGTGCAAGTATGGAAGATATCGCTAAATTCTTTTCTTAGCAAGGAATATTAATAATTAATACCCTGGAGAAGGAATGCATTCATGGGGGGAGGTCTACAAACAGCCGCTCTGGGAGTGTCTGTCTTATGCAGTTGAGATAAGGACTGAAATATGCCCTGGTCTCCTGCAATACCCTCAGGCTAATTAGGGTGGGAAAAAAACCTGCCCTGGTAAATTTGAGGTCAGACCAGTTCTCTGCTCTCAAACCCTGTTTTCTGTTGTTTGTTTATCAAGACAATACGTGCACCGCTGAACATAGACCATTATCAGTAATTCTGCTTTTGCCCTTTGCCTTGTGATCTTTGCATTTGCCCTTTGTCTTGTGATCTTTTTTGGACCCTTATCAGGAGTTTCTGGTTTTGCCCTTTGCTGTTTCCTCAGAAGCATGTGATCTTTGTTCTCCTTTTTGCCCTTTGAAGCATGTGATCTTTGTGAACTAATCCCTGTTCTTGTACACCCTCCCCTTTTGAAATCCTTAATAAAACTTGCTGGCTTTAAGGCTCAGGTGGGCATCACGGTCCTACCAATATGTGATGTCACCCCTGGAGGCCCAGCTGTAAAATTCCTCTCTTTGTACTCTTTCTCTTTATTTCTCAGCCAGCTGGCACTTATGGAAAATAGAAAGAACCTACACTGAAATATTGGGGCCTGTTTCTCCCGATAAATAAGTCTCATGAGATCTGACGGTTTTAAAAATGGGAGCTCCCCTGCACAAGCTCTCTTTGCCTGCTGCCATCCATGTAAGCCATGACTTACCCTCCTTGCCTTCTGCCATGATTGGGAGGCTTCCCCAGCTATGTGGTACTGTAAGTCTATTAAACATCTTTCTTTTGTAGATTGCCCAATCTCAGGTATGTCTTTATCAGCAGCATGAAAATGGACTAATAAACCATTAGCTCTACATTAAAAAACAACAACAACAGCAACAAAACCCAAAAACTTACAGGCTGTAACAGGCTATATAATCTGTGAACCTCTACCCTCTACTAAATTTAAACTGAAACTCAATTTACATTAAGGTCATCAGGTCTTTTAAGGTGCTTTTCACAGTCCTAATGACCGACACATACACCTGGTAGTGCCAAGCACCTGGGATCTCCATGTAATGGTTTGCCAGGGCTGCTATAGCAAAGTACCACAGACTGGGTGGCTTAAACAGAAATTTGCTTTCTCACAGTTCTAGAGGCTCAAAGTCCAAGATCATGGCATTGGCAGGTTTGGTTTTTCTGGAGGCCTCTCTCTCCTTGGCTTGCAGATAGCCACCTTCCCGCAGTATCCCGACATGTTCTTTCCTCTGTGTGTGCAAATCCCTGGTGCCTCTTCCTCTTCTTATAAGAATCGCAGTTATAGTGATTAGCGTTTACTCATATGACCTCATTTAACCTTAATCATCTCTAAAGGCTCTATCTCCAAATGTAGTCACATTATAAGGAACTGGGGGTTAGGACTTCAACATATGAATTTGTAGGGGACACAATTTATTACATGAAGCCCCACTCACTACTTAATCCCAGTGGAACAGTAAACACTAAAAAAGGCTAGCTGGCCGGCCAATGAGTGCCACACACAGGCTGCAATGCATTCCCCAATGTCCAAAAGCTCCAGGTCCTCACCAAGAGGAGAAATGATAAGAGAGGGCATGGACACTCAGGAGAAATTATTTTAGCATATGTAAACATCAACATGACCAAGCAAACAGGAGTCTCCTGACTCACACACTCAATGGATAAGCACTGGTATGTTTAGCTGTTTTCAGAAAGTTTCCTCAACTCTATCTGCTGATGTTAGCATTCACTCAAAGTGGGCCTTAACGACAACAAAAAACTGCATTGCCAAAATCCAAACTGGCAGCACATACTGGAGAGGGGAACACAAATAACAAGCCACCCTGTAATTTGTAAATTTTCTTTCAAAGTGAGCTATAAAAAAGACATTAAAGACACTTCTTGAATATTTCTGATATTGATTTGGAATAAAAAGTCAGGTGAATGGATGTATTTTCACTGTCTTAGCCTACATGCTGTTATCTTT
Source organism: Homo sapiens (assembly GCF_000001405.40). Lineage (NCBI taxonomy): Eukaryota > Metazoa > Chordata > Mammalia > Primates > Hominidae > Homo > Homo sapiens. The sequence continues at coordinate 40,001,423 of NC_000012.12, forward strand.
TCTAAAAATTGCCTTACACCAAAAATAATATCTTTAATTTCCACAGTCTTCACCATTCTTAAATATTTTTTCATTTCACTCTCCCAATGACTCTGTGAGGTAGACAAGGCAGGAAAAGATAAAGAAAATGAAACTTGGTAGTTAAATGACTTGCCCAAGGTCACAGACTAAGAACTGAGGGAATCAGAATGAGAATGCAAGTCTTCTGACATCTAAGTCAGCACTCTTTATTCTTGGGACTTAATGACATTCAAGGCACTGAAACTATGATCTTGCAAAATTCACTTCACTTAGCACCACTGGGATGTAAAAGTCTATAAATAAAATTAAATGTGCATAATCACAAAGTGAATTTGTTCTGAATAAAAATAATTCTATTTCTTCAATAAATATGACATTTCTAAGTTATCAATCATCCCAATGAAAATTTTAGAAGCAGCATTTTCGTTGATAATTTATTTCACTAGGATAAATAACTGGGTAAACATAATAAAGTTTCAAAGCAAGAAAATCAATTTCCATAATTAATAATACAGAGCAAAATTTAACCTAGCAAATAGATGATTTTATTAAGTAGGTGATCTTACTGGTCTACCGCACACATTTTCACTAGGCTGTAAACATTTCTCCAACTAACAACTGAAATTAAGGAAAACAAATGAATCATTGGATGACTTTAAATAATCAGGTTTAAGAAAAACATGCTTATTGAAAACCAACTATCTAAACGTCAACTACAATAAAAAATTGTTGTATTGGGCACTTATTATGCGCCAGCCTAAGAACTTTGTGTGCACTGCCTCACTCAGTCCTCATAATTATCCTATAGTGGGTACTTTTTCATACTCATTTTACAAATGAAGAGACAATAGTGAAGTTAAGTAATGTATCCAACAACAACATTTAAAAAGTGGCAAAGTCCCAATTCACACCCAGCTCTGTTTGACTCCAAAGTCTGTATTACACATCTCTCTAATGCCTTGATCCCAAATACAAAGAATAATGAATGAATTGCCTATCACAACTGAAAACAGACTGAAAGATGGGCTCAGAAAGCAACAAAATAAATAAAATCTGTAAGCAATATGCACTATTAAACATGAAATGAATGAATGAGGTCATGGAATTTCCTCTAAAAGTCTTTTAAAAAGGAACAAATGATCTTCAATTCAAATTCTTTCATGCAGCAAAACTACTCAGCACATGTCATGAGCTAGGAACTCTCTTAGGTCCTTGAGACTCTGAGAATAATATGACACAATCCATCCCCGTGAAGGGTTCAAAGTCCACTGAGGAAGGTAAAGACACAGAGGAAGTTTTAAAAGGCATTAATATGGATGATGGCATAGGCTAAGGTTACAAAAATGCCTAGCATGTATGGGGCTCTGATTTCTAGGGTATGGCTGAGTATAGTGTATATTCCCCTAAAAAAAAAAAATGGGAGAAGGAACTTCATAAAGCTGCTTTTCACTCTCCTTGACAGCCAGTGACATAATGATATTTTGTTAGCCAAAAAAAGCAAACTAGGGGTTAATAATTTACATCCATGATTTGTACACTGGAAAGGAGCCCTCACGCTAGGCGTATTGGTCACTGGCTCAGTGCCCTGCTCTGTGCTCCACAACCACCCTCTCCCCTGGTGAATAATAATGCCATCATAATGGACTGGGACAGGGAGAGATGTTTGGGAACCACTCCTGTAAATATGGACATTTATACAGTTCACCCAACACAACTATGTAAATTAAAACAGTTATATAATCAGGAATAAAGTTAATTTTTTAAAAAGCAATACCTATTGAGAAGGAGTTTATGAATTATGCTAGCCTCAACTTCCACTTCAAAAAGAATAGTATATGAATTACCCTATTTAACAACTAGAATCTTAAATTTCAATGCATATCATTTTTAATGCAGTGCTAGCTTATTAAAATTATAACGATTATCTCCAAGGACCAAGGAAGAGGAGAGACAAAAACAACACTTAACCAAAAAGTGAGTGGGCGCTGATGGCAATAACAAAACTCAACCGTCAGAGGTGCCCCATAGACAAATATTTTTAAATGTTCTTGAATCTATAAATCTAAGCCTTGGATATGCTATATCGTGGGGTAGCTAAATCTGTTGGTTCCCTATCAACGTGTATTACTGAAGGGACTAATGACATGCCAGGCCCCTAATATGCCTTAACCCCTGTTCTATAAAAAAGCAAGTCATCTCCAAGGAGAAGAAACACTCAAGAGGTATCATCGTGGGTTTTTTTTTTCAATACATTTAGAAATGTATTGAATTTTTAATTTATTACAAAGTACCAGACATTTTTTCTCATTCTCTCATATAATACCACACACAAAAATTCTACAAAATGGGAGTATTATTCCCTTTCTGTAGATGAGGACACCGAAGCACAGAAAGTTTAAATTAGCTGGGCGTGGTGACGGGCGCCGGTAATCTCAGCTACTTGGGAGGCTGAGGAAGGAGAATCGCTAGAACCCAGGAGGCAGAGGTTGCAGTGAGCCGAGAGTGCGCCATTGCACTCCAGCCTGGGCAATGAGAGCAAAACTCCATCTCAAAAACAAAACAAAACAAAAAATTCCTCCCAAAAAACACAAAAAATAAAAATACAAAATACAAATTTAAAAAAAGATAGTATAACAACTATTTGCATAACATTTACACTGTATTCGGTTTTATAAGTAATCCAGAGATTATTTCAAGTATATGGGAAGATGTACATAGGTTATATGCAAATACTATACAATTTTATTTTATTTTATTTGAGATGGAGTTTCACTCTTGTTGCCCAGGCTGGAGTGCAATGGTGCAATCTCAGCTCACTGCAACCTCCATGTCCTGGCTTCAAGCAATTCCCCTGCCTCAACCTCCCAAGTAGCTGCGATTACAGGAATGTGCCACCATGCCTGGATAATTTTGTATTTTTAGTAGAGACAGGATTTCACCATGTTAGACAGGCTGGTCTCAAACTCCTGACCTCAGGTGATCCACCCACCTCAGCCTCCCAAAGTGCTGGTGTTACAGGCATGAGCCACCATACCCGGCCACTGTACCATTTTATATCAGAGACTTGAGCAATCACAGATTTTGGTATCTGAGGCGTATCCTGGAATCAAGCCCCCATGGATACCAAAAAATGACTGTAGCACAGACTGGGCAATGAGTAAAGGACAGATTTTTTTTTTTTTTTCACAGTTCTAGAGGCTAAAATGTCGAAGATCATGTTACTAGCCTCTGGTTTTCAAGATGGCACCTTAAACACTTTTGGCTCCCCAAAAGCTTAACTACGAATAGCCCACTGTTAACTGGGAGCCTTATCAATAACACAAACAGTTGATTAATATATATTTTTAAGTCATATGTACTATATACTGTATTCTTACAATAAAGTAAGCTAGAAAAAAGAAAAAGTTTTTAAGAAAATCATAAGAGAGAAAAATATATTTTCTATTCAATGAGTAGAAGAGGGATTATCGTACAGGTCTTTATCCTTATTGTCTTCACACTGAGTAGGATGAGGAAGAGGAGGCAGAGGAGGGGTTGGTCTTGCTGTGTCAGAGGTGGCGGGGGAAGAAAATCCACCTGTAAGTTCAAACCCATGTTGTTGGAGGGTCATCGGTACTGCCTAACCCTACCTTATCTGTAATCACTTACCAGCACTGCTGACAAAGACACATTTTTGCTAGAAACAAATTAGCAAGAGAAATTAGGGGTGAAAACATTAAACTTTTGAGATTTTTCAAAATTATTGAAGAGTTAAAGAAAAAGGGGCCTGTAGCTACAGTATGAAGAGACCTCTAAACTAATCTGTGTACTTTATACTTCACAGAATAGAGGAAGGGAAGAATGAAGTTCATTTGAAGTGTCCCCAGGTGAGCCACAACAAATCCCTCATCCAGAGGTACAACTACCCTTTAGTATTAGTGCAGGCATCTGGAGGCTCCTAGTAATGCTTAATGATAGCTTACAAAGGGTATGTGGGTGTGTATCTGGTGGGTAGTGGAGTATGGTGATCACTTAAACTAAAAGGAAGTTTAAGAGACCAACTCAGAAAGTAAGATCCTAAATCAGTGGTTCTCAAAGAGTGATACCTAAATCTGAAGTGGTTCTCAAAGGGCAGTCCAAAAAAGCAGCACTGGCATCACCTGAAACTTGCTAGAAATGCAAATTCTTAGGCCTCCCGTTAGACCTACTGATTCAGGGTTCTGTGCATGAAGCCCAGTAATCTATGTTTTAATAGGGTCTCTTGCCACTGATTCAGATGCATGCTAATTAGGAACCACTGCTCTAAAATCCACTAAGTGGCAGTGTGCCACCAAAAGGCTATACGATTTTATATCAGAGACTTGAGCAATCACAGATTTTGGTATCTGAGGGGTATCCTGGAATCAAGCCCCCGTGGATACCAAAGGCTATTTTAAGTCCGTGGTTCTCAACCTTGGCTGCATATGTGTATAATTAAGAAGCTTCCAACGTAAGGCCCTACCTCAGAGAATCTGATTTCACAGTTTTTGCTTCTTCCAATGATCAGCCAAGGTTGAGAATCACATTTCTAGATGATTTAATAATTTCAATCAAACAGGGTTAAAATTTGAAAAAGAAAAACAGTACATGAATGTTTTAAGTCTAAACATACTCAACTTCCCACCATATGAGTATAAATTAATAACCCCATACAGTCAGCTAATACTTAGGCAAAATACAAAATTGAAATTAATAACGCAGGATTAAAATGAAACCTAAATGTTTACAGGAGCTCACTGGGAAAACATAAGAATACAATATTATTTTTTTCCAAAAAGAAATTTTGAAATGTATAAGCTGTAACAGAGTGGCAAGAATACTTGACTTTGTATCTCAGGTATATCTGGGCAAGAGATTTGCCTCTGTCTTCTATCAGCTGTAACATTTTGGTTAATTTTATTTTTCTTTCCTTAGCCTCCACTTCTCCTCCAGAAAACAGTCAATAATATGAATCTCTATCAAAGAGATGTGGTAAGGATTAAACAAAACAAAGCATGTAAAGCATTTGCCACCATAACTGGCACATAGTTTATGTTCATTAAATGTAAGCTTATTAGTAAGAAAATTATGTTAAAATGAAAATATAGTAACAAAATAATGAATAAATTCTAAGAGTCAGGTAAAATTTCTTTCTAATAGTCTAAGCAAAGAAAAAGAGGTATTAAGACAATAACAGTAGTAAAGATTTAGGTGAAGGTCTCCATATCAGAAGTGCAGGAAGCAAGTACAGTTAGATATAAACATTGTACTCACTTCCCTTATCCTCCTATCAATGGAAGCAATCCCACCTGTTCACTCAAGTCTCTCTGGAGAAAAAGTGGTTTACAAGAATAAACCCATGTCTACAGTGTCGGCTAGACAGATCTCAAATACACATAACAAATTCATACTCTCTGCTGCCAAGATCATATTTTTAATTCCTTCATAAATTTAATCATTAATAATATAAAGAAATTCCCATTTGAGTATTTGTAATGCTAGCAGATGCACACTTACTTCTGATTCTTCCAGTTTCCAGCAATGGGTCACTAATCAGTTTATTTATTTATAAAGAAGATGAGCCACATCTTTTAATTAGCTAACAGTCATGTGTGTTCAACTTTCGTTTCTTTCTTTCTTACTAAAGTTGACCCAGTATAAGAATTTCTTGAAACTAATGAGCCCCTCCCACCTTTGCTCTGTGGCTGAGAGAAGTGCCCAATGTGAAGTGGGCACATAGATGCTGCGAGAAGGGAACTCATTCATAATTTTCTATTAGAAACAGTGATGGAATTGCAGAAACTTTTGTTTCCTTATACATTAGGTTATTTGTCATATTTTCTATAAAAAACTTGCATTACTTTTAAAGATTCAAAATTTTAAGCACACGGTCTAGTAAGTATATGAAAGAAGAATCAGTAAATAGTTCAAGAATAGTATAAATATTCTAAAACTTCATAAGTTCTTTTTTGCTATCCAAAAAAAAGCCACACAAAATTAATTGACTGTCCACCAAACTATTTTATTTACAATTGCTGCTGAAAACAACTTTAAAACTTTTTTTTAAAAAAAGGTCATTACTATTTTAAAATTAAGCATAATCCCAGAACTAGACTCACATAGTTTTTAAATGATGATGGAAAAGGGTATCCTTATATAGTACATTGAAGAGTGTATACTGTTCTAATAAGATAAGCTTTGTTTTGAATTCTTAGTTCTTCTATTTCCTAACAGGGTAAACTTGGGCAAGATTGTTAACTTCTCTATCAATTTTTACAACTATAAAATGATAATAGTTCACATTTTAGTTATTTGGCTTGCTGTAAGAATTAAAAGAAAAAAATATGGCACAATACCTCACACATAGAAGCCATTAAATATGAGTGGTAGCATAATTATTCAAAGGAAGAAACACTATTCAAAGAAGGAAGATATCGTTTACCAGCCTTAAAGATTCCATACATGGAAAAACGCCTTATCTATATTACTTTTATAATATACAATGGGTTTTACGGGAAAACCCAGATTTAAAATATAAGCACTTTCTACTTCTGAGGTAGAGTCTGAGGTAATTAAACAGCATCAAAAGATTCAACTAGTTTAAACCAACATATGTATAATTCTGAACTAATCAGCATCTCAAAACATTTAAGGATTTTTTTTAAAAAACCTATCCAGATTTTTTAAAATTTTAGACTAAATATAGTAACACACCTGCTAAAATGATTCCTTATAACAACATTCTCTTATCTGAAATTCTGTTAATAAAAGTAGAACAGAGAAGCCAAAAAGATTTTACTAAGGCATAAAAAGCAGCAGGGTGGTGGTGATGACAGGAAGCTCCAGGGTCAAGATACCAAATGTTAAGAGTATGGAGAAACAATTGGCTGGGCACAGTGGCTCATGCCTGTAATCCCAGCACTTTGGAAGGCCAAGGCAGGCGGATCATGAAGTCAACAGATCGAGACCATCCTGGCTAACATGATGAAACCCCGTCTCTACTGAAAATACAAAAACAACATTAGCCAGACATGGTGGTGGGCACCTGTAGTCCCAGCTACTCGAGAGGCTGAGGTGGGAGAATGGCTTGAACCCAGGAGGCGGAGCTCGCTGTGAGCAGAGGTTTCACCACTACACTCCAGCCTGGGCGACAGAGCGAGACTGCGTCACTCCAAAAAAAAAAAAAAAGAATATGGAGAAACAATTAAACTAATCCTTCATATTGTAAGATGATACCTGAGCTTTGATTTCTAAAAGGTTGTGATTCGATGACTTCCAGCCAATATACTTTGAAGCTTAGAAAGAAATTACCATGGAAACAAATGAACTAAAATAACACTATAACACCATGAGATAAATGGTTGTGCACAATTCTACTTCTAGATATCTACCCTAGAGAAACACACATACATGTGCTCAAGAAAACATATACAAGGATGTTCATTACAGCACTGTTTATGATACCCCCAAATGTAATGCCTATTAATAAAAGAACACATAAACAGAATGTGACATTCCATATCTGGAATATCACAGAGAAGTTTAAAGGGATGGACTAGATTTATATAAGATCTGACTCAAATCAACTCAACTTGAAAGAAAGCAAACAAGTAACTTAATAATACATGCATTATGATACTATTACCATAAAAATTCTCTAGGTGTGTTTGTGTGTGTGTGTCTGGAAGAATATTCCCCAAATCTGTTATGGCCAGCAGTGGAGCAGAGAGGTATAAAATGCGTGGGATCGATGTGATGGGCAAAGAGGAATTTAGCTTTATCTGTCCTGTTCTAACCCTCCAAAGGGAGGCTGAATTTATTTATTGTTAACTTAAACTAATTAAAGAAGAAAAATGCCTGAAATCTTTGATCATAAATGATGAAAACATTTTACTAGCCAAATAGAATGTTTATGGCTTTAAACTGTTAGATAATATCTATAATATTGTGACTATTAATAGGAAATAGAACATTAAGGTTTTTTTGTTTGTTTGTTTTTGTTTTTTGAGACTGGGTCTTATTCTGTCACCTAGGCTGGAGTACAGTGGCAATGGTCATGGCTCACTACAGCCTTGACTCCCTGGGCTCAAGCAATTGTCCCACTTCAGCCACCCGAGTATCTGGGGCTTCAGGCATGTGCCACCACACCCAGCCAATTTTTTAAAAAACTTTTACAGAGACAAGGTCTCACTATGTTGCCCAGGCTGGTCTTGAACTCCTGAGCTCAAGCAATCCTCGAGCTTTGGCCTCCCCAAAAGTGCTAGGATTACAGGCATGAGCCATCATGCCTGGCGACAGTTTCTTTTAACAAGCTCAAGATAAGAGGCCAGAACTCTGCTCTAAAGTCCAATGTAGAGACATGGGTCCTAAAACAAAATAATACTAAGTCAAAAGCCATCTGAAGAAGAGGCAGACTGACAATTAATGTCTCATTCATAATTTTCTATTAGAAACAGTGATGGAATTGCAGAAACTTTTGTTTCCTTATACATTAGGTTATTTGTCATATTTTCTATAAAAAACTTGAAATTATTTGACTACAATTCTGGTAATATTTATACTTCTTCAATTCTAAAAGAATGTGACGTGGTAAAAATCCCAGATGCCGCTAATCTATACAGGCACATGGCAACTCAAGAAAACATATGCACTGAAAAGGAAGCACAGTTCTTAAACATTTCAGTATTGAATCTGGCAAGAGACAGATCTTATGATGGTGTTTGTGGAGTCAGAAATCAAATGAATATCTTCTTAACATATAAGGTAGTGTTAAATAAGGAACATTATTCAGAGACATCACTGAGCTGAGAGTTGTTTGGATCTGCAAGTGAGAAAAGTAGAATATTTGATATTTTTCCCACTGGAAAATAAAGGTAATAGACGCCCTGTTGTCTGAAATATTGATTATTAGGGAAAGTCAGCTGAGGTTACATTTATAAATAATTTTATCACCCTAAAATATATAAATGCCATTCATTCTTCCATCTTGTGATGTAGGTAAGGCTTTTTTTTTCTGAGCCTGGATCAGCTGACTAAAGCATTGTTTTTCTTGCAAAAACCACAGAAAAAAATGTATTGTCTACAATCTCCATAAATAATACTGAAAACTTAAGACAGTTAAGCAAATTCAATATAGAATCCATCTAATTTTAATGATTTTTTCACAAACCTTTTAAAACCATCTTGCCCACACTTTGAGAGCAGTTTTCTTTAATGACATCTTTATTGAATCTTTCCAAAACATTCAACTTAGGTTTTCACTGAAATTGCTCTCCTTTTTTTATATTTTTCTTTCTTTAAATTTCTGTAATAGTTGATTCTACTGCCTAATTACAGCAACCAGCACAATGGCATAAACAGATTTAGAAACAAACCTAAATGACTTGGTAAACAGCCCAACAGACCGCATCACAAGTGCCAGGGCGTCCTGGAAAGTCATCTGCCAGCTGTGAGTGTGTTGTGTTTTAGAGGTTTTAAGAGTCTGGGGCCCACCAGTTGGTTTGGTAAGTGTGAGATGTAGAGGCCCTAAGAAGAGCATCTGTGTAGTGTATCTCGTGCAAATGTTAAGTTACACTTCCTACTCACCAGCTTCGTTCTTCAGTCTTCATGTGGTAAAAAATACAACAACCTACGATCCAGGCTACAGCCAGAGGCTCAACTAACTTTTGAGTAACCTCCCACGCCCGGTACCAAGAGTTGGAGACACAAATAATAACGGTAGGCAGGGTTTATCAACATCACCTGTGTTGAGTGTTGACTTTTTGGGCCAAAAAGTTCTATGTTGCAGGGGCTGTTCTGTGTATTTGTAGCATTAAACATCCTACTACCCACTAGATGTCAACATCACATTCCCTGAGCTGTGACAATCAAAAATGCCTCCAGACATTGCTAAATGCCCACTAGGGGGCAAAATTCCTCCTGACTGAGAACAAGTGAGGGTGGATCAGGAGCTTTCAGTTTCTAATAAACTTTCTTGGGTCCTTCCCTTTGTTGGGACTCACAGAATTTCATACTCTTAGATCTATCAAGAATCTTTTCCTTCAAGTTTTATTTTAGATTCAGGGGATACATGTGCAGGTTTGTTACACAGATATATTGTGTGATGCTAAGGTTTGATCCTTAACATCATAAACATGCATAAATGATCCTGTCACCCAAATAGTGAGCACAGGACCCAATAGGTCGTTTTTCAACCCTTTCCTTCCTCCCTCCCCGTCTCCTCCCTCTAGTAGTCCTCGGCGTCTACTGTTCCCATCTTTATGTCCATGTATACCCGATGCCTAGCTCCAGAATCTTTTGGTTGCCTTCTCTGAAATTCAGAGAAGTAAGCTGTGAACAGCCAGTTGTGGTTGCCTAATTTGTAGGGCTGAGGGCAAAATGAAAATGTGAGTCCCGTGCTCAAAAATTACAACTCTGAAGACAGTGACAGAAGAGGATTAAACCAAGGGCAGGACCCTTCTGAGTGCAGGGCTCTGGGCAGCTGCAGAGGTCGCGTGTCCATGAAGCCAGCCCTGCAATAGCCACCTAGTGATAGGCAGAGCAGGAGTTACAACCTGGGATTCCTGTCACTCTTTCCACTAAACTGACAGTCACATAAAGATCTGCTGCATCTCAATAAGCCAAGAGGTATTAATAGTTCAACTTCCTAATTTTTACTACAGTTTTTGCTAATATTCCTTATACTTAGCAAGAAATATTGTACATAATAGTGAATTAGTTTCTCATCTCAACTTTTTGAAATCAAATTTATCAACAGAAACCTACTAAATTAGATTGACAGTTCCAATTATAGAACTACAAAATCATTTGTGTTTTATTGGAAACAACCATGAGGAGTTTATTATATTTTATTAGTAGCATCTGTCTCCTGTCTTTGAATGCTAGAGAAGATATTAATGATGTTCTTTTGCCATTTGGAAACAGATACTCTTTTCTCAAAAATTATCTTTGGCACTGGATTAATTCTCTAATTTATTCTTGTCATTTGGCAAGCGTCTTCACTCCAGGTGTAGAAACTGGAAGTGTTTCCAGAAAGATCAAGGGAGATATACAATTTATTACAGAAGGTCAGAATGTGTGTTGCTTAAAGATGTGATGTGATATTTTTCTATCGCATGGATGTGACCATGATGAACCTAAATTCTAGCTTAATATCATCAGTCTGGTCTTACCTGCTAAAGATCACCAGGACATACATGCTTCTACCTTTTACTGCTCTGCCTTTTTCTTTTTCAACATTCTTCCAAATGTAAATCAGCAAAGCAATAACTGTCACAGATAACACTGCTTCCAAAACACAAGTAGTGGGTTATTATATTGGTTCAGTAATGTTCAAAACAGCATATCGCAAACTTCCCAACAAATGTCTGGAATCCAATTTTATGGTCCCAGAAAGGAAAGTGACACAGGAAATCACACTCCAGCACTCAGAGATAGCAGGCCTCCGGGACTGAATGACAATGCTGTAAGAAATTTTCGCTAGGGAATGTTTGACAGGAGATGCCACTTCTAACTCTGTGCTTTCAGTTTCTAAGTTCAAGTGAGTTGGTAAGAAAAATCCTGCTAAAGACATTTATATGATCTTCAGACATAAGGAGACAGTAAAGGAATATGCAGTAGCAGCTACAGTAAAAATGTTTTTAGTTTCTATAGTCAAAAGATACATGCAGAGGATGGCTTCCAAAACCAAGTGCAAAAAGGGTATAGTCAAATCATCAAGTGGTCTTACAAAATGATTTAAAAAAAAAAAACCTGAGTAATATAAACTATTTTCTACAAAGGCTAAGTGAGGTCAAAAATTTACAATACAGTGAGAAAGGGATGGATTATGCTCTTAAGAGCAGGGGATCTTGTTACCACCCTCTTTTCATGTCTAAAAATATTATTGAATGAATACTTTTACAGAGCTTATAATGTGCCAGGCACTGTTCTCACAGCCTTACATATTAAATCATCCAATCTTTAAAATATAATTATCTGAGACAGGTATTACAACTATCTCCATGCTACAGAAGAGGAAACAAGCACAGAGAGGTCAACTAAGTTGCCTAAAGTTGCACAGCTGCAATTTAAACCCAGGCAATTAGTTTCTAGATATTAAGTAACACCCAACGGCACATAGCCTTGGACAACTCAAATCTGTCTTTCTGAAAAGCTGAGCCCACTATATGACACAAGAACCACTATCTAAATCTACAATGGTAAGCCACTCAGACACTATATATATTTTGTATAATGAAAATCATTACAATTTCCTTTGGAGCTTATTTCACTAATGTACAAAAGATGAGAAATCCACTTTTAATGAGCTCTTACGTGTGCGGCCCTACGCAGGCACTGTATTTCCCTCATCCCATTCACTTCTCACCAGGATGTGGAACAACCTTCAGCACCTGATTTTACAGAGGAAGAGACTAAATACTTGGGGGGAAAAGTTGAATCACTTGCCCAATTGTGTAACTGATGAGACTCATACTAAAACGAAGCCACATAATTTCAAGAGAAATAAGGAGGAAATGCCTTCATATATATGTATATGTTATTTGTATTTGGAACATATCTATACTCAAACATTATATAGCATCAACTTCTTGCTTCCTTATTTGAGTACCTGATCTTATCTAGTACATTATAAAAGTTCCTGGAGACAAAAGCCTTTGTTTATAAAAACTTTGTACACCACATTACTTTTAGTATAATAATGCGCAAGTAGTAAAAGCCCCAGAAACATGTGTCAAATAATGGATGAATATGTATTTCTGGCCCAGAGGTAAACAAAACTCACCCAACTAATGTACAACTGTATGCTAATTAAGTCAATTAAGTACAAAGTACAAAACTCTAACATTTGTGGAGATCTCTAGCTTCCACTGATTTACCTCAGAAGGAAACTATCCCTTTTGTAAAAGAGGAAGGTTTTCCAACTCATAGCAGATTGGTACACTGAGACCCCAAATTGAGAGAAAATTCACCTAAGAATTCCATAAAAAGATTCCACTTGAATACTTCAAAATTAAGTGTTGGACTAGTCCAGATTATAAAAGATATTCATTTTTTTTTCTTTTTTTTGAGACAGAGTTTTACTCTTGTTGCCCAGGCTGGAGTGCCATGGCATGATCTCGGCTCACTGCAACCTCCACCTCCCAGGTTCAAGCAATTCTCCTGCCTCAGCCTCCCAAGCAGCTGGGATTACAGGCATATGCCACCATGCCCAGCTGATTTTTTTGTATTTTTAGTCAAGACGGGGTTTCTTTATGTTGGTCAGGCTGGTCTTAAACTCCCAAGCTCAGTGATCCATCCACCTCAGCCTGCCGAAGTACTGGGATTACAGGCGTGAGCCACCACGCCAGCCAAAAGATATTCTTGAATTATCACCTTCATATTCAAAATAAGATTTCTATCGTAATGCTATATTAGATCCAGCCAATTTTTATTTGAGATTATTATAGAAAACAAATGTTTTATGCAAATGACTACACTTTGGGAAAAATAATTTTCTAAGACCGCTGAATTAAGTAATATGTAAAAACTCCAAGACTAAATTAAATATACATCTTGTAGGTACGTCTCTATTCCTGCTGGTATAATTTTACAAGTAATGAAGTATGTGAAAGAATTTTTAAAGGGTCTATTTCTCACATTATATATGACTAGTTAATAACTATAATTTATTCTTATCTGAGTACTTAAGACTATCAGAACAATAACCTTCACTGGCCCATTTAAGAAGAAAAAAAAAAAATTCCAAGGAATTCAACATGGGTTTGAATTCTGAATTGGCCACTTAGTAGCCAAGGAGACCTATGCAATTTATATTCGTGGCCTTTCTTTTTTCTTAATAACAGAGGTGATTCTGATGTTGAAAAAGCACCTTTCTAAAAGTTGTTCAACATAGTTTTGTTGTAAAATACTGCTGAACCTAATGGAATTCCTTATCAGAACAAGCCTCTGACATCAAGATCCTGTTAATAATTAGGTCTCTGGCCAGTTTACCTGAGTAGCTTACTAATTCACTTGGCAGGTAGAGCTTCTCAGCACAAATTTTCCTTTTGAATAAAACTAAAGGCAAATGTATGTCTGGGTTTCCTTTCTGGAAATGTACTACCACTTCCTCCAGTCTCAGAGGGCACCTCATCAAAAGGGCCATGACTCACCTTTCTAACCCCAGGCTTCCAACACTCTCCCTCCTCCACTGCACTTGATCTTTCCCCATCACACTCATTGCTTCTTGGTGTGTTATATATTCCTTTATTGTCTGTGTTCCTTCATCAGCATGTATATCCACGAAAGCAGACGTTTTGCTGTTGTCCAGCAAAATATAAAGGCAGATGGGTTGGAATTCTGAATTTAGCCACTTAGTAGCCAAGGAGATCTATGCAGTTTACTTGAGGTTTTTCTCATCTCTAAAAGAGTATAATATAATAATGATGATAATAATAACGATTTCACACTGGATTGTTGTAGCATTAAAAGATATAATAATACCATGTGAAGTGCCACGCACAGTACATGACACATCGTAAATATTCAAAAAAAGAATAATGCTCTTTTATTAGTTTTCAAAAAAACTGCTAACAGATAAAATCAGAAAAGTCACATGATTGCTCTTCAAACTTTGCTCTTTAACAGTAATAAAACTTTAAATTATATTATTCCTCTTTGCTGCCACAAATGTCACCTGCATGGTTATGCAGCTACAGCCATGATTCCATGTAAGAATAAAGAACTTATAATTTGAAAACATACTACACCACCCCCCCAAAAAAAAACTACTCTTGAAATCTGAATATCCACAGGACCATTATTAAGCTTAAGACAGAAAAATCTACAGAATTATTACATAAATGATGCCACCTGTGTTTTCAGTAATTCTTGTGAAATGAACAGAAACCCTGATAAGCTGTTTCAGAAAGTAAAATTAAAATATTTTTCACAGAACATTTTTGAGAACCATGAGTTTCCAATTACTTCTCAAAGTGGGTGTATATAAATATAAACTAGCTAATGAGAGTAGCAGAAACAAAACAAACACCAAATTTCACATCTAAGATTCTGACTACAATTCTATGGTCAAGATAATCATTTGTCTTAAAAGTGCTGAAGCCACTGTAGTCATAGCTAGTGAAAATATATTTGAATTTCATAGGCTCACCTTTCATAGTAGAGAGAAATTCCATCACATCTTGAAGTGTACATACCTATAATAAGGGCCTAGTCTGAATTATAATCTATTGTCTAGAGTTATAAATAAAAATTGGCTCATTAATTAGTAAGGGGTATTTCCTAAATTCAGACAGTAACAAGGATCTCCTTCAAAATTAATTCTAAGATAATAAATCACATGAGATTTTATAACTTTCATATTTGAAATTTCATTGTACTTATAAATACTTGATGTCAAAAAATAAGTTTTTTCGATGGGCCCAACATGTTAGCAACTAGAAGAAAATACTAATAACTCCTAATATACACATAAATTCCAAACTGTTTTGCTAAAAGTCCACAACGAGTTTCTAAACATATACATCTGCCTTTGTAAATAGAGACATTCAACAAATAGTCATTGTGCACTGACTTATGTCTTCTCCTCACCAACCACACCTCCCCAGGGTCTCATGATGACTAAGTAGGACAGAGGGAAGGAGTCTACACACTGTAAGAGCTCCATTTCCTCCTCCAAATCTCAGGAGTCAAAGATCAGACATCACCATCCACTCCTCTCACGTAAACAGAAAGTCAAAGAAACATTTATGAAGTGCCTTGCTAACGTCAGGCAATGACTGTATCTGGCAATGAGGATACAAAGATAAGTAAGGCTAAGTTGCTAGTGGAAGCAAATCTAATGCTGACTGCTCCAGAGACATATCACAAAGGTTTCCAGGGAGTCGAGAGAAGGAAGGCACTCTGCCCTCTCATATTCCAATATAAGATTACTTCCAACCTTCCTTCTGACTCCTTTGTTTACCTGCTGTATAAAATCCCAGAATTTCTCCCTCTTCTTTAAGGATTTCCTCATTAATACATCTTCTCTCTATTGCAAGAGCCTGAATAAAACCATCTCCTTAATTGTTTGGTGCATTTTAACATTCACAAAAGGTATCATCTTGCTTTGACTGCAATTCAAGGCAAGGGAGCTAAGATTTCTGTTGGTGCATCAAGCCATTTTGATAGTACAGCTGGCTCCAGTCTCAGATGATGACAGACTCAACTCTCACCATAGAAACCTGGCCTCTTTTGGTGCCCCATTAGATCAAATGTGACATCATGTGCTGAGATGGACCTGTGGGGCTGTGACATATGCAGAAGTGACTGTGGCTGGGCCTTGAAGAAGCAATGTGCTCTGAGCAGTGGTCTCATAAAAGTCTGTTGCTGCAATTATACAGAGGCTTCCCTGCAATACTTCTTTAGAGGTTCCTCTGTGACTACACACCCTGTGCACACTTACACGTGGACACAAACATTGACAACTTTACCTTCTGCACAGAAGCCAAACCCACTAGGAATTACCACACTGAAGTGGCTTCAATGCACATATTTAAAAAAAAAAAAAAAAAGAAAGAAAGAAAAAAGAAAGGAAAGAACGTGAATAGCATCCTCAAATTAGTCCAAAGAATAAAAACTGAGGAAACTGATAAAAACAGACATACTTAATGGTTAAAGAAGGAATCAGCAACCTATAGCTCATGGGCCAAATCTGGCCGGCTTTCTGTTTTTATAAATAATAAAACATAACAAGCACAAAATAATAAGCTTCACACTTTACTGGAAGAAATCCACACTCCTTTTTAAAATACATTTTCTATGGTTGTACTGTAACAGCAGAGACAAGTAGTTACAGTGAAGACCACTGGCCAAAAAGCCAAGTATTACTATCTGGCCCTTTACAGAAAAAGTTTGACAACCCCTAGGATAATGCATCAAAATTAATACCTAACCCTCAACACAGAGAACAGCCTCCAAATGCTTATATTCAAAGTATAATTAAAAGATCACCATTCTACTTTCTCAATAGTTCTTTCTTGTGGATGAAATACGATTTTTCCTAATTTGTAGACTTTCTATTCTTGTGTAACACAATTAAAATAATACCAGCATCTATTGGACTAAGCAGGAAGAAATGCTTAAGCACTTTTAGTTCAGCCTTTTTGTCAACCGAACAATAAATTGTCTTAAATTTTGCTAATGGAGACTAATATCAAAAGGCCTTCTTTGCCCAGAGAAAACTCCTAATATGTTACTGCTTTTCAAATTTAATATAATTCTTTTTGCGAGACAATAATTGCATCTTCTTTGCAGGGTTCACTGATTGGGGTAAACAGGGAAGGTCAGGGGATGTGAACAATCTCAGGGTGTCTCCAGGCTCCACCTTACCTCCTCAGATCCCACCCACACCATTTTCTCCTCACCCTGAGAGTCAGAAGGCACTTAGTAATGTTGAGTGCTTCTTGCTTGCTCTCTTGGTATGATGATGGAGTCTGGGCACTACTGAAATAAACCTGGAAAGATACATTCAAACAAGATTGTAAAGGAAGTTTAATAATAAGTTAAGGAACATGTTTCTGAAGAGGAGAGGGACATGATCCTGTCTGTGTGTTGCAATGATAATTTTGGAGGCCATGGGGAAAGGATGGAGAGGGAAGATACTAGAAACAAGGACAGTTGACACTGTTACTCTGGCAGAGAGAATAAGCACCAGAGACCTCACCCAGGCAATGGCAGCAAGAACCGAGAAGAGAAGAGAGATTGGGAATACAGGCTCAAGGTGGAAGCAACTGAACTATTTTGCCAACTGATTTTGAAGTTCATTGGCTTTTTCACATTTTTTATAGTTGTTTGAATGCTTTCCTTTCAGAAAAGGATATTCTTAAGGACATTTGATTGTTAGGTTCTAAGCTCTTTAAGAGCAAGGACAATGCCTAATTTTTTTTTTTTTCCTAATATTTACATCCAAACTGCATGGCACAGATGTGGCATGAGATGCAGTCTGCAGAGCAGAACAGGGAGAAGCTGGAGTGGTAGCAGCTGGGGCCCAGATCCCGCCTCCTTCACTTCCTAGCTGTTTGCCCTTGCCAGCACTCCATTTTCCCAGTACAACGTGGATTATAATGTCTGTTTTAGGATTGTTTTAAGAATGAGAGTGAAAAGAGAAAGGGAGAATGTGTTTCTATAGATGTGCTTGTAACATTTATAGAAATGGGCATTCAGGAAAAAGAAATTGTTACTAGTATTTTCACACTAGTTGCCCCTCCCCTTTAGGAAAGAACAGTTACTGGGCTCAGTTTTCTTAAAAAATTATCTTGAAGGTTTATTTTATTCTAAGAGATGTGCAGTGGGAATCATTTTCAAGGAAGTACCTTGAAAAATCCAGGGGAAAAACTGTACTGAAAAACGTGAGACACTTACACAGCAACTGATTATAGTTCCGGCTTCATAAACCTAATAATTTTCTCCTCACTGTATCCTGCCAAGGACACACCTCCTTATTGAAGGCTCAACGTTTCAAGAAATAATAGGTGTTAATAAGTGAGTTAACTGAAATGTGCATCTAAAGCAAGGTATTCAGTAAGATACTGATTAAAAATACTGCTTAGTACCAGAGGGTTTAGAGGGCCTCAGGTAAGAGGAGAAAATTAATGGCATTTGACCACTGTAGCTCCCCAATACAAATCCAATTTAAAATATGAGGGAAAAAATAAGGTTTCTTTGATTTTTTAAGAAACTCTGAGAAGATCTCTGCTGACATTTGAGAATAGGCAGGTTTCTTCAGATAGTATATGACATGGTGATGTGGTTTGGCTCTGTGTCTCCACCCAAATTTCACGTTGAGTTGTAAACCCCAGGTGTCAAGGAAGGGACCTGGTGAGAGGTGATCAGATCATGGAGGCAGTTCCCTCAGGCTGTTCTCATGATAGTGAGTGAGTTCTCACGAGCTCTGACGGTTTAAAACTGTGTGACTTTCTTCACTCTCTCTCCTGCGGCCATGTGAGACGTGCCTTTCTTCCCCTTCACCTTCCACTATGATTCTGAATTTCCTGAGGCCTTCCCAGCCATGCAGAATTGTGAGTCAATTAAACCTCTTGTCTTTATAAATTACCCAGTCTTGAGTAGTTATCACAGTGTGAAAATAGACTAATACACATGGCCATTGATATTCTGATTCTACAGACTATCCATGGAATTGTCTTGTTAAACTAAAATGTCCCAACACTAAAGAATGGCTCCTGTGCCTTCCCCTTTGAGGTGGGAAAAAAAAAAGGGTTTTCTTCAGGACCTTCTGGTAACCTTCTACAAAGATCAGGTAACCTTTAAAGGGCATAGCAATTTGTCGTATCTTGAAGAAAAAATGTCTCCAAATCATGGTTTTATTTACGAAGCAGACTATCACCTATACTGAATGATGGATTTCAAGTTAAGTTGGAAGTGAGCTACCCTGAGCAGCAACTCATGAATTACATTCATTTTCAAATGTCTACCTTGTGGGTTTTTTTTTTTTCATTCCATTTAATCGTATTAAATACAGAGCAGTAAAATATAGTATGAACCTAACGGTAAGTGGGAAAAAAGAGATCTTTGACAAAGTCACAATTCTTTCTGCATGGATCTTCTTTTATGAGATATGGATTTAAGTACATCTTAGCAAGAAAACAAAAATATAAAGCTTTGAAGTATTACCTATCTACTTACTAAGACAATCTGGATTCTCAGTATAAATCAAGGAAAATGACTTAAAAGCCTACAAGTAATCTGAAAAATGTTTTCTTCTCCCGTGAGTATGCTCAGTGGAAAATCTCTGTGCTGTTCTTTATCCCCATATAACAACAGAACAGTCAATGACATTTTAATGTAAAATCCAAGAATGATTCCAATTCTGCATAAGATTTTAAAAGTTGTCTGGGGTTTAGAAAATCGACGACAACCTTTATTTAAAGCCATATTGAATGAAATAGTGTTTCTTTTAAGTAAGTCAGCATGCCTAAGAAAATAAGTTTTACTAAAAACTGAACAGAGTTGTGTATTGTTTTAATAGTCCTTCAGCTTACAGCTTAACATAAGGATTGAGAATTAAAGTAGCTTTTTATCTGACCTTTTGTTTTAATCTACTGTTTACCAGCCTAATACTTTGACAATTTTTGGAATTTTACAACCACCTCTAGAATATTGGATATAGAAATGTTTTCTTTGCCAATATTTAGAAAATTGCAGGTCATCTTACCAAGAACAATTTATCAATATCTATTTAAAGTTCACCTAGTAAATGACATCCATGCATTGTTTTGGGTCAGATAACACTGTAGTACTACCACATGAAAAAAATAAAAGCAAACTACCAAATATATTAGAGAGAATGACTATTTTCCTCTAAGTGCAGCAGATGTCAATTGCAACGAGTATTTGACTGCAGTGTCATTATGCTGAAATTGGATTTCTAAAGAAACATACAGAAGAATTTCTATCAAAATACGATAAATATTTACCCCCTCTGACCTCTCTGCAGAATATGATTTGCTGAAAGGGCCACAGTCAATATCAATTCACAAAAAAAGAAAATGACTTACGAAGGTAGGTAAGACTTCATGACCAAATTGCAAAATTACTAGAGGAAAAAAAAAAGAGATGCAGCTGTCCCTTCCTATACATGACAGACATGACCCCCAAGGAACTGGAGGTAAATCAAATCATGTTTTAAAATGAACTCACAGGAAGCTCCTGAATAAGTTCTCTTCCCTACAATACTCTTGCTTTCCAGGCTAGAGATCAAACTCTTTGTCAAAGGCAAAGCCAACGTTCACCCAGATTCCTAAACTCATTTGTTGATAAAATTAAATAATGGAAATCTTGCTGGCTTGCATATTTTCACATAGATTACATATCACACAGGTAACCTAAATGCCCTACTACAGTGACTAGCAACTAGTGGGCCTGCATCTAATTCCAATCTGAAACATTAGCTAGTGCCTCTGGGTTGCTACTTCTCCTATATGATTAAATGTTGAGATTTTACTGACCAAAGGGTAGGGCCAATATTCTGGCTGGCATTCTTCTGTTTAATAAGTCCATTCTGAAAGTACATGATCTAGATGATCTAGGTAATATTAACTGTAAAACAATTTTTAAGGCCGGGTGTTGTGGCTCATGCCTGTAATCTTAGCACTTTGGGAGGCCAAGGCAGGTGGATCACTTGAGGTCAGGAGTTCAAGGCCAGCCTGGCCAACGCGGTGAAACCCCGTCTCTACTAGACATACAAAAAATTAGCTGGGCGTAGTGGTGCATGCCTGTAGTCCCAGCTACTGGGGAGGCTGAGGCAGGGGAATCACTTGAACCCAGGAGGCAGAGGTTGCAAAGAGCCAAAATTGTGCCACTGCACTCCAGCCTGCATGACAGTACAAGACTGTCTCAAAAAAAAAAAAAAGTTTTAATATGTAATTTTTTAACATGGAATTCACCCCTCCCCCCCCAAAAAAAGCCATTTTCTTTTAGGGGAAAAAAAGCCCATGACCATTTTTAAGTTCCTTGGATTGAACCCATGCTATAAATAGATTTATAAAAGGCTGCTCTTTACTGCCCTAAGGCATGCAGTCAGTGTCTCCCTTGCCTGCCTTCCTTTACTCAATCTGTCATTGCACTGATGCTGTCCTAATAACCTCATTCTCCCTAAACATACTGCTTTTTAATTTCCCTAGCTTCCCTAGCTTTTTGCAGTGGTTCTAACACCACCATCTGTATGTTTCTCTAGAGAAAGCTTTTGTTGTTCATGCTTTTGTTGTTCATGCTTTCCTTCCAATGATCCTGCCTTAGCACAATGATCCTGCCTTAAGCATCCAATGATCCTGCCTTAGCACGCCCACTTCAGAGTGGAGAGGAGGATGACAGAGATGGTGCCTTATCTAAGACCTCCCAGAAACTGTGCTTGAGGGGCTCCTGCAGCGGGGCCAGGGGGCTTCTTCTGACAAGTCATGGCAGCAACAGCCTTTGCTTTCCTTTCATCTCCTCTCAGGGTACACTTGTTCGCTGGTACAGGATAAGAAACTAAAGAAGTCAAATAAGTGCTATCAAACAAGGTTATATAAAGCACATGAAAACACACCTCTCATTTCTGGATTGTTCCCTAAGACTGCCTTCAGAAGAATCCTGTCTCTTCTGTTGGTTGATTTTACTTCCTTTGTCATGAGAGACAATTTTTAACTTTCAGGAACTAAAGCTCCTAACAAAGACTCTATGCCTTCTATATGCCCAGTAATCCAAGAAATGACTTCTCATCTCTAGTGACATGGACAGACCCTACTTTTAATATCATCTCTAATGAATTTGCCCAGGAGAGAAACTCCAAACTCTTTCAGGACATGTCTGTCAAACTGAGGGATACATATCCCAGGGATATAAATGACAGAGTGATGGGTTCCATGAAGCCAATGAATGAAAACTGGAACTATTTAGGAAAAAAACGGTTTACAGTCAAGTAAAACAGTTATATTATAGAACAGAATGCAAACTTTGGTTAATTTCTAGGATAAAGCAGAAAAATTCAAATATATTTGAGCTTACCACAGCTGCTTCCTGTTATAATAACCAGGCCCCAAAGGGCCTGCCTCTCTTCACTCAACTTTGAAGCTAAGCAGAAAAGTTTGCCAATCATTGCTTAAGTAATTACCTATGTCTCTATCAGGATTCTGTATCTGTTGATAATACAGGCCATGACTCTATTACACATCTATGCAATATGATATAAACTAGGAAAACAAACCAGACATACCACAAAATGATGGAAATCATATTAATGTTTCTTTGTATTTAAATTTGCTTTCAATTCTGAAAACAGTAATTGTGTCCCTACTAATTTAACACTTAGGCTTGGGAACCTGAGATAAAAGATGTATAGTTAGTTCTTACTGCAATATCTTAGAAGTCTGGTACATGTACACTTTGTAGCTATGATCAAAACTTGCAAAAATCAATCTGGCCCACTTAATAAAACAGAATTTTGCATTTGCTGTTTCCTCTTTCTGGAACAGTCTTCCCTCCAGTTCTCTGTATTGCTGATTCCTTTTCACCCTTCAAGTTCATCTCTTCAGAGAGGCTTTCCTAACCATCCCATGTAAAGTACCCCTTTTCATTCCCTCTATAAGCATTTTATTATTCTCTTCATCTTTTTCAAAGCAATTACCATAATTTGTAGTTATCTAGTAGTTAATTGCTCTTTCATTTATTGTGTGCCTTATCCAATGAGAATGGACCAGAATCTTGTCAGTCTTATTTACTGCCACATCCCCACCTCTGATGCATGTCACTCAATAAATACTTTTGAAAGAAATACTGCTGTACAGCATTTAGAAATAAAGAGGAGGCACTTCTCAGAGACTTTCAAAATCCTAAAAAAACAGACCTTGGAGTTATTATAATCTGGTTTTCTTTTCTTACAAACCTAAAAAGAAACTGAGGCGCGGCAACTCTCCCGAGATTCATTTAAGATGGCAAGTTTGAGACACAGCCAGTGATATTCTTCCATCTCCCTGTCTCCCACTCCAGCGAGCTCTCCAAACCAAGCTGTTGTTTCTGCTAGTCTTACTTTATTATTCCTACAGGATGTATCAACAGTGCTGAGCACACGTGAAAACCAAATGTTTGCTTCTTTTCCCATACTGCCTTTTTGTTGTTGTTTTGCCAACTATAGTGGAAAAAAACACACAAGACATTGGATGTCATGCAAATGAGTCTGACCTCAATGCCATGGGCAGAAGAGATGAGATTCCATTGCACTCCAACCTTATTCCATGGTATGGCCTGGAAGCCTCAACTTTGCTGCTGACATGGCCAGAGCAACTGCCATATCTACTATATAAAGTGTGGTTTTAAACCAAGAAAAATGCTCTAGGCACTAACAATCTCACACATCCAAAAAATAAAT
Organism: Homo sapiens; assembly: GCF_000001405.40. Classification (NCBI taxonomy): domain Eukaryota; kingdom Metazoa; phylum Chordata; class Mammalia; order Primates; family Hominidae; genus Homo; species Homo sapiens. The sequence goes on from NC_000012.12 coordinate 40,025,343, forward strand.
TAATGTAGCCAATATACACTTCAGTAGCTAGGCCTATTTTCCTCACAGAGGTCAAGTTTAAATTCAAGTGAACAAGAAAAAAAAATTCCTATGAAAAGAGAAGGATCACATATGCAAGTGCCATAACCGTCACAAGTCACAAATCCACTGGGGAACTGCTAGATAAGACATGGTTTACTGATCCAGAATCAGACCTATTTATTAGTAAGCTCAATGCGAACAGGTATCTAAGCCACCATGTTTGATAACACATTCCTCCTTATAAGAAATAGGGTGTCTTAAACAACGTCTTTCTAAATTCCTGGAATATCAGGATAATTTGTGGTACCTACATTAAGGTTCCCTTCAGGTAGCTGCACTCTATTGCCCACAGTTCCCAGGCTTGATGTTGTGGATCAAAATTCTCAGGATCCATGGACAGATTAACAGGCCATTCCCTAACCCTTCAACACAATGGCTGATTCATCTTTTCTGTGCCAGTGCATTTTTATTACTTTGAAGTTAGCCATTCTTTTATGTGCATTTGTCCATCTAGCCTATCGTTCTTGAATGAAGCATGATGGAGGGACAAGACCATGTCAGTTTGTTAACTCTCTATTTTCCAATTAAACTGACCCAGAGTCTTGCTCCTGGACATTACAATACTGATAATACAATTCACAGTTCTGCAGACCATGTTTTACTGTGGTCACGTTTCTTAATCATAAAAAATCAGGTCCTCAATCACTGGTGCCATGTAATCTGGCAAATCTGTCTGAATGCATTCATGCAATAATGCTCTTAACTGCGTACTTTTTAAAAAGAACGTTAAGATTAGCTTTTAAATTAAGCAAGATGATATTACTTCAAATAATACAAATCCAGAAATGGATAGGTTAATAATCCTATTAGTTCCAAAGTTTAGAATATTTACTCAAGCATGAGCAAACGTTATTAGGATCCAGTGAATAACATTATAGTATTTTTAAAAACCTGTGCCAAATGTGAATGTAAAACAAAACTGGGGAATAGGGAATTATTTTATCTATATCCAAGCAAAGGGGTGCTATTTAGCTCCCAAAGACTTCTGATAAAAACTAAAGCAGATGTTGATAATTGCAACCCTATGTACCCCAGATTTCTTTAAAAATTCATTTGGTTATATATTCCGAATAATGTCTAAAACTCAAATAGGATACACCGTCAACACTGCATGGCTAGAGTAGTCAGACATATTTTTAAGCAGTCAAAATGAAGCTATATCCTTAATGCTTTGCAATAAAATCAATGATATCCATATCCCTAAACAAGAAGGCTTTTAAAAATTAAATTTTTATCCTTTATATAAATTAAGAAAAATACAGGCTCTAAATAGTATTTAACAATTTTTCTCTTACTCTGAAAAGTTTTTCCACTCACACATAATTTGTACATAACTTTCAAATGTATGAATTACTACAATTAAAACAAATTCATGGCCAGGTGCGGTGGCTCACGCCTGTAATCCCAGTACTTTGGGAGGCCAAGGTGGGCAGATCACCAGAGGTCAGGAGTTCAAGACCAGCCTGGCCAACATGGTGAAACCCCATCTCTACAAAAAATACAAAAATCAGCCAGGCATGATGGCCCATGCCTATAATCCCAGCTACTCGGGAGGCCGAGGCAGGAGAATCACTTGAACTCGGGAGGCGGAGGTTGCAGTGAGCCAAGATCGCGCCATTGCACTCCAACCTGGGCAACAGAGTGAGACTTCATCTCAAAAAAAAAAAAAAAATTCATATTTCATTTGAGTTACTGAGAAGAGAAATTTAGACAGGAGCATAAAATAAGTTGTCATTTAAATAGATATTTTAAGATATTTTTTAAGGAACACGATGTTTAACTCAGTAAAAGTAAAACTTTTTGTTAAAGCAAAATTCTCCTTAATCTTTGCACTAATATGTTACTCTAGAAATGCTGACATTGCTGGACACCTGGCTGATGCTCAAAAAGCGTTAAAAAAAATGAACTTCACATAGAATGGGCTCACAGTTTGTTGAGGCTTTGATCTCAGCAACAAAGTGACAGCATCATGCTATCATGCTACAGGTAGGTAAAGTTAAATCAAGCCACGTGTGGCTAACACAGAGACCAGCTTCTTCAGAGTGTTCATCCTGTTGTTTCAGGAAGGCAACAATGGTCAGCTCCACCAAAAATGGTAGGAGAAAGTAGACTGGACAGACCTTCTAACACCTGTGTAGACATGTATCAGCAAAGGAGTGTGTGTGCTTGGCATTTTCTCAGGTATGAAAAATAATTTGACTAATACAAATCTGCTTCTCCCCTTGAGCTAACAATGTAGAGGCAAAAGGAAGCGCAAGAGAAAATAAGACCAATTTGGGAAATGTGAAGTGAGCAGGCTAATTGTTATTGTTGAAAAAATGTATCTTGAAATGTCTACCTTTTCCTCGTTTACATCCTACAAATCACTTACCCAAATCAGACTGTCAAGATTATAGATCCTGCCTCAGAATTGTTTGGTACATTTCTATGTGAAATCTTCTTCAAAAATAAATTCATCAACATAAATTAACATGAGACTTTTCTTGGTTTTCTGACATGGTGAATTTCAGAATAGACAATGAATTAAATATTTTAATGGAAAGAGGGAAACACAAACTTATCCCTAAACTAGTACATGAGGTACTCATACGCTTTATAAAAATTAGTATGAAAATTAATGTAACACATGTAAACGAAGCATTTTAATTTTTTACAAAGATTATTTTGAAAACAGTTCAATAGCTTTTAAATGAATATGGAAGGTCAATAATACATATATAATTTTATATATGGATATTTTTGTATAAATATAAATATCCATATTTATACATAAATACCCATATATTAAAAATATATTATACACACACGCACACAAAATAATGACAAATAAGACCACTGTATAGTTTTTAAATTCATATAAGTATAAAGTCTATATACCTGAGCCAACCTCTTTTTCCTCCTCTTCAATGTTGTTTTTGATGCTATCATATTCCTCATCAATGGTCTGGTTACCACGCATCTGAGATAAAATTCTACGGGCCTTCTGAGTCTGTCCTTTCTGAATAAGCCATCGAGGGCTTTCAGGCAAAAAGAGAAAGCCAAAAAACTGTATAACCGCCGGAACTGCTGCAAGTCCCAACATGTACCTGCAAAGAAAAAAAATCCACATTTACTGTAAAATTTGCTCTTACCATCATGTGCTCACCACATACTTTTGTGTTGTGTTGACAACAATAATACTTACTGTGAAGTTAGCCAGAATTATTTGTGCATTTATGTGTGTGTCTGTCACTAGGAAAAAAGGATATTTTTGTGCTGCACTGAAAATTAAAAAATGAGAAAAATCTAATTATTTCTCTACCTTTCCCACAAATTACATTGAAAAAGAATGAGCAAAAGCTACAGTCATTATGTATACACATTCTAACCCAAATATATTAAGCAAAACATCATAATCACCATTCCTATGTAAGGCTAACATATGTAATTTTGTATTTTACAATATAAAATGGGGCTACGATAAAACTTTCTGATATCTGCTTAAAAGGCACACTTTTCATTAAAATAAGTGCCCAAATTTGTTTCTTTATAGTTATTTCTGACTTGTGAATCATTAGTTATAATTTTGTTGTTACAATTTTCCTATTTCATTTTGCCATCAAGCATCATGTTCATCATCATTAACTGAGGAATGGGGGCCCACAGGAAAAAAAAAGATGGAGTCAGAAATCAATAATCCTAATAAAAATCTGCTCATGTTGTTGTAAGTTAACTGTTATCTCTTTAAATATCTATTCTTAATGGCTGGCAAAATTCAAAATAGCAAACAACAATATCATTTTAACTCCCTCCAAGAAATAACAAAAATAGTAATGAGTATATCTATATCAAAGATCTCTCCAAATTATGATCACCAGACTGATTTCCTAACATCTCTAAGGCCTCCATCTTTTTGAACCAAAGGGGCTGAATTAGATAAAATTTAAGCTGTCTTTCAAATGGAAACTTCCATGCATCTACGATACCTGAATGTTTTCTGTTAATCCAACTTCTCTAGGTATGTTCTAGGGTAGATTCCTAACAATAGAGCTCAGGAGGCCAATTCTATTTCTATAACAAACCACACTGATATGCATAAGTCATGGAAGTCACTTGGCTCAATATATTTTTCAAAGCTATTCTACCTTTTAAGCTATGCTAAACTGATAGTAGCCTTAAAGGCTCCAGAGATAAATCTCACAAAATAAGTCTGCTATTTTCCAAGCAATTTCATTTTAATTAAAAAACCAGTAGAAGAAAAAATATGATTATTACATGGGTAGTAAGAATACCTCCTACTACAAATTACAAACTTAAACTACACATGGAAACAGAAAAATTAACCAGGATATGGAAAGTAAATAAACTATTTATGAATGAATGGCTAAATGAATCAGTTGGCCTGCAGTGTTAAATCTTATTGGAGGTGTCTTACGCTTTAGGCCATGGATTGTGATAATTACACCAATATTTAGTCACTCCTGCCTCTGCTCACCCACAGAGCACACAGTTTAACCTTAATTTATGTCTTTGTATCTTGTATTATAATACATTATTTAGCTATCCCAATCAATTGCTTAATATTATTTAACTTTGTATTCAACATAGCATTTAGTTAACTTGCACACAGTAGGCATTGAGTACATATTTTATGAAATAACACATAAGCACCTGTATATCTAAACTTTCTACATTAACTAACCAGAAAATAACTGTGCTTTGGATTTATATGACAATATCTTAGGTAACAACTCTTCTGGGTCATTTAGCTCTGCAAATTTACTTGCTCAGTAATTCCTTCCAACCAAACCATTCATTATTCTAGATATAACTGGACCGTCTCTTCTGGAAGAGTCCTCGGATGAGAGCTACAGAGATCAGCTCACAAAAATATGTACTTCTGGCCTCTTCCCCTTAAGATGTTAACTGGTATAATTTAATCTGTTATTTAAATGTATGTTTTATTGCTGTAAATCAATAAAACTTCCATCTGAGCTGTGTCAAAGACATGTTTATACTATATTGCTCATTATTTAAAAGGGATTTTTCAAGGTAGACCCTAAATATACTGGATTAGGAAATAAATTTTAAAAGTCCTAAAGGTGAAAGCCTTTATGTTTCATTTATCTACACTTCTCATGATCTTTCCAAAGAAAGATCATGAATTAAGATAGAAAAGCAGCAGATAATACTTCAAAAAGCACTGAAATGAATGTAGAAACTGAATCATTTTCAGGTCCAAGATGCTCACATAATATTTTGCACTCTGCTACTTGCTATTAAATCCCAGGATGCAGTATTTTTACAAGTTTTTTTTTAAACAGAAAAAAAGACAAGGGAAGAGAAGAGAAGAGAAAAGAGAAGACAAAAAGAAAAGGAAAATACAGACATATATATTAGCCTGTGTTTCTTAAGTGAGCTACAGAAGACAGAATAGGCCTTCCCACCTTTTGAAATCTGTGCAAGAGTCTGGGTCCGAAATGTACAATTCCGTTGCCCTAACGTGTGGAAAAGGAATTTGTACCCTCCTGCCAATCCTTAAGCATATTAAAGCTTCTTTCTAGAGATTAGTCAATAAAAAAATGTTTTATACGTTTGTATCCTAATACTTCTAAAAGTAAAATGAGAAAGCTTATTTTGTTTTAATTACCTTTCACGATGAAAATATTTTGATATGAATAATTTTCATGGCTTTGAAGAAATGCAATACACAAGATCAGAGCTTATATGACAGAGAGGACACAGGAATGGATGTGGGTGTCACTTCAGCTCCGGGCATACAAACCACAAGAACCTGGTCAAGTTACTTACACCATTTTATTTATTTATTTATTTTTTTAGATGGAGTCTCACTCTGTTGCCCAGGCCGGAGTGTAGTGGCGCGATCTCGGCTCACTGCAACCTCCGCCTCCCGGGTTCAAGCAATTCTCCTACCTCAGCCTCCTGAGTAGCTGGGACTACAGGTGCGTGCCACCACGCCTGGCTAATTTTTGTATTTTTAGTAGAAACAGGGTTTCAAAATATCAGCCAGGCTGGTCTCAAACTCCTGATCTTGTGATCCGCCCACCTTGGCCTCCCAAAGTGCTGGGATTACAGGCACGCGCCACTGCTTTCGGCCAAGTTACTTAACATTTTAACACACAGGTGACAGTATCTATTTCATAAGACTGCTGGGGGAATTAAGTGAAATCATTCACCAAGGCAGAGAGGATGCTCGGAAAAAATGTTTCACCTCCCTGAACTCCTAACCACGCAATCAATTCACTGTAACGTGTTTGTTCTGGCTGTATCACCCAACTAAATTTTCAGCAGGTACAACTAACCAATTTCTTTCTTAAGAAAAACATTCCTCTAACGATGTGCAGACTGGAGAATAGGAAAGATAAATAAGAGGCTGTTTTGCTGTGGTACTAATAAAAATTTCAACATGAGACAAAAAGAGAAGGCTCTTCATAAACTAAACTAAGGCAGTAGTAGGACTACCAGTCCTCTAAATCCAAGGAAAGCAGGAATTAGATGAATGACAGAGTATTGTGATACACTGGGGCAGGCAGTCCCCAGAAAAGCAAGTAGTCTCCTATTGATACAAGAGATCTCATTATTCTAAATTAAGTCAGGGTTTCTAAACCTGGCTTCACATTAGAATCACCTAGGAGGCTGGTAAAACCCACCAGTTTCCAGGCCCCACCCTTCCCCAGGGATTTTGATTAATTGATCTGGACTCTGGGCCCAGGGAGTTGTTTTATTAAAAGCTCTCCAGGTGGTGCTAATGTGCAGTTGTGGCTGAGAACCAAGGATCTAAATGTTTTTAAAACCCAGGGTAAACATGAACAACAAGCACCCAAGGTCCACACCTTACGGCAAAAGCCATTTACCTTCTACGGACAAGCAAGCGCACCAGACAAACACACAGTCAAGCAGACATGCCAAGCTCTCATGAGTTTTTAAATCTTTAGTATGTTCTTTACCATCATGATCACTCATCTAAAGATTTAAAATTTTCTAAACTTACAGTTACAAAATGAACTATTTTCTGGCACAGCTAGCAGTACCAGCACCTGCCTACCAAAGCAGGCCATTTAAAGGCAGAGGAATACTTCCAAAAGACAAGGTTAGGCCAGCTGTCAACAAAGAACAATCCCACCAATTTCACCTCAGGTTAAGCCTTCTCAATTCCAGAGATGGAAGCTCTGTGAATGGTGGATCCTGCATTCCTGGGGCCAGACCTCCTGCTATGGCTCAGCTGAGCAAGCCTGCTGTCTCTTCCATCAGATGGCCAGGGGCCTCACAACAAACCAAACAGGTTCTTCACTGAACTAAACATTCACTCTCATTCCTGTTTTAAAGCAATCCTGCTGCTCTCACCTATGTAACTAACGACAATAATCCTCTCATATCTGCTTCCTTAAGTTACAGAATTTTGCACTTCACGATCATTGACCTCCTCTCTGAACTGATAACATGAGTTAGCATGTTATCTGCTCTTTCGTAGTTCCAGAGGTGTGATGATTATGTTCCAAATATGTGAAAATCTAGTTGAATGCACAATCTCAGCATAGACATGTAATTGTTTAGTAACAACAATACTAATAGCAATAGTAACAGCTAATGTGTAGCACCAGTTACCGTGTGCCAAGCACTGTTCAGAACAGTTAGGAAACATTTACTCCCATGATTTCACAACAACCCTATGAGGCGAGTGCCATTATTATCCCCACTTTATAGACAAAGCAATGAGGCACAAAGAAGATACATGGTTAGTATGCAACAGAACTACAGTTAAAATCCAGGAAGTCTGGCTCCTACAATAAATGTTTATTGTAAGTCAAGCTATATTAACTGTTCAATAATTACTTGATAATTAATTCTGTAGAACACATTAAAAAGTGCATTAATTTACCTTAGCTTCATGTTTAAAGAATTCAGAGGTTCCCTTTGGAAGTATTATTCCCTCACCTCTGTTAAATGCAGTAAAACACTGCAGAAATAACAAAGCAAAAGCAAAAGCAAAGCTGGCTGGCTGGGAGCTGTCACTCCTAATTGTGCCCAGCACAGGTGCCCAACACAGTACCACCCACTGGGCTGGGTAACTGCAAGCTGGATTTAAATAACACAGAACTGCTAGGAGGAAATGGAATATCCTGTGATTTTCTCAACACCTATCCTTACTAAATCAAAACTCCCTAAGAGCATTACTGTTAAAATAGCTGACTACTAGTTAAAATACCTCATGTGTAAAGGGTAAATTTGTACTGCTTCTTTTGACCACTGTGCCAAACTAAAGTTTTATTTAATGTTTCTTTAACATACACTAGTAAGCTTTTCATACAGGAAAAATTTGGATAACAAGAAGGTAGGTATTTTTAAAAAAAACCATTAGGAGCAAAAATATTCGACTGCAAGATTTTAAAGGATTTGATCCTTTGAAAATATTTTCTATGATGAATATGATAGATCGAAAGTTGCTTTCTCTTTATTTTTCAATCTCTGCATCCCAAAGGTTTCCCCAAGCCTCACTCCTCCTGAAGAAATTGTACAGGAGTGAACAACTGCATCCCGCATTTGTGCTCTGTTTCTTTCCCTTCTCCCCTATGTTCCTGTTCCTCCTTAACCCAAATGACATGAAAAAGTTGCCAATGCCTTACACTGGAAGATCTATATGATCTGTGGTTTTCATTTTAAGTCAAGCTGTAATGGAAAAACTATCCTAGTTAAGGGAAGTTTATTACACTACATTGTATTTTTTAAAAACATGCAATTGTTTTTGTAGCCCTTGAGGAGCTGAATTCTACTAAGAGAAGACACTTTTCACTTTGAGAGGCACAGTAAAGGTTTTCAGACACCATACTCATTTAGTCAATTATCCTCCCAACAGGCCATGAAAGCATTAAGGTACAGGTCAACTATCACTTCCTTACTGGTTTCCCAACTTCATGTTGTCAAAACTGTGGTTCCAAGCAAAATAACCACCTCATACTTTTTAGTCACAGTTAATCTTGATACTTTCTGAAACACTAAGATTGGCTCACTGACAATCTCTGAAATGTCATCCTGAGTACAGTGGGGCTTTCTAGCAAATTCTCTAATAATATCCAATACTGTCTTAAACTAAAAAAAGGAAATGAAAAAACTGTATCTGTAATTCCAATTAAGTTTTATTTCCACTCTGTCTTCTGGCTTGCACTTTTGCTATTGATTAACAAATCATGTCCATGTTAGCCCATTCTGAATAGCTCAGAGGAATATTATAAATATTAAGATGATGTATTCTTTAAAATTCTATAGCTTCAAGTTGGTATTCTTTCACAAATAACTATAAAATAAACTCAAAATCTTTTTTTCCTGCATTAGTTCACGGAAAATAAAAAGGGTTAGCAATTAGAATCAATAGATTCTTTGAAAACACTAACTAATGAAGATGTATTGTGTTTGCTTGGAAAGCTAAGCCTTGTGATTTCTCTGAGCTGTTACTCAGCTATTTACCCAGCAAATATCTCCTGAATGTATGTTAAATGCCAAGCACTACAGCTAATCACTGAGCATCATGAATAAACTTACCCAGAGATGGCATCCCCCCGAGCTGGAACTTTCCAATGATAAACAGGACAGTGAAACATTTTCCCCTTAAAAAAGCATAACTCAAACCCCTTCAACCTCATCCAAGAACACTGTGCCCTCAGTCTAACATCCAGAGCTATCCAACTACATTGTTCAATGTTCCAATGAATTTTGAATTTTTCATATACTGAAGGAATAATCACATGAGTGATGTGTTTACTGAAAGATCTCTATCCATGGATTTACAAAAGAAATGGTCATCGTTATTGATCAATAACTAGATATTTACATGATAACATGGTCACCAAAGTTATGATTTATGTAATATGTTTCTACTTAATGCAAAAGTTTTAGATGCAAACAGATAACACTGAATTTAGCCAGTTGCTAGAGTTATGTTACAGCAACTTACTTGGTAACATATTTTTAAATTTTAGTTCATGCTTCACAAGTCTATTTTAGCAGAAAAGAAAACATTGCCACATTGAGATCCCAGGCTGGAAAGTTACTTTTCCTCTGCCACCAAGGACCATGTAAGACATGCACCCTGATGACTGATACACTTGATAATCAGATGGCAGCTAGAGAATAAACATAAGACCATGGCTGAAGGTACCTAAGAAAAATTTCAATGTGCACAGATGGAATCTTTCACGTTAAAAGCAGGTAATATATGATCCGCAAATGATCAACACCTGTGTTACCTCGAGAAAGATTCTGTATACACTGTAAACAAACAAACCCTAATTGCCAGGTAAGTAAACATAACAAAATATTAACCCTGTCTACATAGCTTAGAAGAAGACTCCACCAAGTAAACTAATATCAGCATATAAGTGGCTTGGCCAGGGTTATTTAAAATGTCATGATTATAGTGGAAGAAGTAAAATATGCTCTGACAGAATGTGATATCGTTGAAATCAAT